>NC_000013.11:68559621-68711136 GCF_000001405.40 Homo sapiens
AGGGTGTCATTAGTAAAACCACAAAGATTTTCCTTTTTAATGGGTTACTGAAAGGTTTGTATTTTTAGCTCTTCCATTTTGGTATAGGATCTACACTTAAGTTTGTAAATGGTATGAGGTAAGATTTGAAGTTCATTATTTTAAAATATGAATATCTTATATACAGCACTTTTGGTTGAACACATTGTCATCCACCCCCATTAAATTACCTTGGTCCTTTTGTCAAAATTCCGTTGACCATGCAAGTATGAGTATATTCCTGTACCATATGTTTCTGATGCATTGATCTATATGTTTGCTGAGTGTTATTATATATTATTAATTCCCCATTGTCTTAATTACTAAAGTTTCTATGAAGTTTGAAAGAGAGGATAAACAACTTTGAAGCCTACGGTTTGATAATATCTTCAATATAATCATAAACATAGCTTTAAATGATAGATGAGACAAACTGAACAGATTTACCCTACCAGTCAAATACATCTGAATAGATGAAAGAAAGACACATTTCCATTTTTATGGATGAAGAGCATAAAATTAAAGTTGAGGACTTTGGCTATAATTTCTCAGATAGAAAATTGTTTGTTTATTCTAACATCCAGGCTATTCAGACACCAAAATTATAGGATCATGAGAAAGGTTAAATAACATAAAGAATGGAACCTAGCATCCACTTTCCACCAGATCCCATAAATAAATACAATGAGGATAAAATGTGTTGAATGGTTTACTAACTTGCATCAACATTGATGTTATTTTTTCATACTACAGTTACTACTCACATTAGAATATTAGCTCCTTGAGTGAAGAAACCTTCCTTTTGTTTACCTCTTGCAAGGCTGAATCCATAATACTAGAGCAGAAATTACCGCCAATAATGTTATTTCAAGCTCCTCACAAAAAAGACAAGCCATATTTTCAGATGTAGAATGAGGAAGTATTGACGAATAACTTGTTAAAAATTTTAAACCCTATAATAAAAACAAACAAAAAATCAGGGTAAAATAATGACTAAAGTGGGTAACTTCATCCTCTTTAGTTCTAATTTACATAACCTGTACATTAGAAACACCTCTACTTATAGTAGCCACCTCATGAGGTGGTTGTGGTGTTAAATGTGGCAATTAATTCAAGTGTTTAATACAATGCCTATAATCATAAATATTGTTAAGAGTACTTACATTTGGTATTATTAATTATCTTTGGTTATTATTTATAGTCATTGACCATAATCACCAAAGGAAAATCTGTTTCTGTGAAAAATTTGAAAGGTTGTGGGGAGGTTTGCTATACTTGGGTTTTGCAGGAACATGAGCTTCAATGACAGAAAGCTCTCAAATGGAAGGTACAAGGACGAGAGGAGAGAAGCACATTCTCTGAATGTTATGCTAAGAGAAGGTTTTGTTTACCCACTTGGCAGGGAAAAAGGAGAAGAACTATAAAAGGCTTCTTTATACATCATGTTTTTCTCTACCAGAAATTAGAGAATTTGGGCTTAATTTTCTTGCAAAAAAATAAAAAATAATAAACAATTATATAGAAATGTAAACACAATCCTCATCTCCCACACCTGTTCACTATTTATGTATCCTTGAGAGGATGAATTAGAACAAAGAGTTGTCAGTACCATGATGAGAAATGCAAAAGATTGGTGGAGATTTTTCTCCCACCAGATGTATAAAATGAAGGGTCTTATAAATCTTGTTAAGACCACATTGAGTCAGGGTGCTCTGGTGGCTGAGATAATGGTCTTGGAGAATCCAGCAATTTTTATTTCACTGTGATGTGTTTTTAAATAAAGTGTACATGTGACTCAACAAACGAGCTGGTTTCTTTCATAACTTAGTCCAGATCTGGTAGAGGTTCCTAAGTAATTTGGGTTTACATTGGTCTGTATATGTTATTTCTTCTTGCACCTAACCAGTGTTATGGAGTCACATCACACTTCACTACAGCAAGCTACACAGAAAGCCTGGTGGCACTGAGGTCAGCGCCCACACTGCTTGAAAGCTGACTGAGTCTTGGGATCAGAATCGTGCTTAGGGCCAGGAAAGCAAGACCTTTTCCTTAGGCCCTGTGCCTCAGGTATTCCATAGTTTGAAGAACCCTCCCGAATATTTTATGTCCCCCACCAGTACCTGGGACCAGACTAATTAAGCAGTGACATCTAAACGGTACACTCCAAGACCAAACCTGTTTTCCTCATGATGCCAGATAATAAATGCACATACTTGAATTTATCAAATGCCCTCATTCATGGCTGAAAACAGCCAAGACCAACAGTGCTCACAGTGCTGAGCCTGGACTGTGACTAATTTGGTGCCATCTCCACATCCACTTTGGTGCAAATATTTAGCACATATAAATATAGCTTTATCATTGTTTACAAATGTATTGTTAATAAAATATAAACATAACTTTAAACTATGAGTAATTTTGTGTTTTACTTAAAAAAACATTATTTTAGAAGCAAAAGAAGTATTTGAAAAGAATATGTTGTTCAGTTATTTAACAGAGTGTAGACAATACCATTTTCACTAATATATCAATTTTTTCAGATAAATATTTTTAATTATCATTCACTACAATGTTTAGCTTTTTTAATCCACATAATTTTAATAGGTAGTAGTGACTTCCAAAATTAGGTTTGCCAAATTACAGTATCACATCAATGTTCTTAATATCCTTAAAGCTATATTTCAGATGAAAAGAACATCTCAATATTCTAGATTAAAAATAAAAGTAGAATTTTTTTTGTAACTTCATTGAGAATATGAAAATTCTATGCAAATTAAAAGAAAATGTATAAACTTTACAGAGGATGGGGCGATGACATTTATGGAGGACTTCGATTAACTATGCTTTTTCTTTTTTCTTTTCTCCCCTGGGTTGCCACTTAAGCTCAAATGAACCATATTGATTATAAAAAGGTATATCTTGTACTTGACTGTTGTAACATAGTTTATGAGGGGAAAAGTCCCAGGATATGATATTTATTCTTGCTGAGTTGCAGAATATAACAGCATGATGCAAAATATATCTCAGTAAGTTATGAAATATGCATATTTAGCTTTTTTGAAGTTTTTCATATGAAAGTTTCAGGAGTCTGGGAGGAAGTATTTTCAGTGCTCAGGAGGTTGTGATCACAGCTGCTTTGCAGTAGAGTAATAGCCAAATTAGCAATTTTTTCTCTGCTACAAAGGAGCAGCATCACCAGTTTATGATCAACTGATTGATAGGACAATGGATGTTGTAGCATACATAGGCACAGTACCTAGAATTTATGCTTCACAAGTAATCTCCAGAAACCAAAATGTAAGATAAATAAAATGTAATTTTTTTCACTGTCCATTGGAATATGTTAAACATTTAGCTTTACACTGTGACATTTTTGTTGTTTCTGTTTTATCTTTGGTTTTGCTCATTTTGGGTAGTTATTCCAGGATAGTTAAAAAGCTGCTGATGTTCCACACTAAACACTAGTTGAAAAATGTAACTGACAGACGATCTGCTGAGATAACATATTGGTTCTCTGTTTCCTCTATTGCTGTTCTATATTTTTAGTGCTTTCACATGAAAAGAGGATAGTATTTTGCTAAAGAACCAGTCTTCTATTTCTGTTTATTTTCTCTCATTTTATAATTTTGCTAAGAATGCATCACAGAAAAGGGAATATCTTGAAACTAATTTCTCAAAATTATTTTTTTAAGAAAAGGTAATTACTTGTTACAAATGCCATTGATAAAATAAAGATGAGGATAGAGAATTATTTTCTATTAGCAATTTGGAGGTGACTGGTAAAGAAAAACAAAACATTATACTATATATGTAATATATATAAAATATATATTATATATATTAAAAAATATATATATATTATATATATATATGTTGTTGTTGTTTGAGACAGAGTCTGTCTGTCACCCAGGTTAGAGTGGAGGGGCAAAATGACAGCTCACTTCAGCCTTGACTTCCCTGGGCTCAAGCGGTCCTCCCATCTCAACATCCTGAATAGCTGGGACTATAGGCATGTGCCACCACACCTGGCTAATTTTTGTATTTATAGTTGAGATGAGGTTTCTCATGTTGCCCAGGCTGGTCTCGAACTCCTGGGCTGAAGCAATCCACAGCCCCCTCCAGGCCTTCCAAAGTGCTGGGACTACAGGTGTGAGCCACTGTGCCCAGCCATGTGAAAATAATTTTGATAGAGTGTTTGGTAAAAGACTGACTAGAGAAAAAATAGATGGAGTAGAATTGTAGTAATGGAGCAATCAACAATTAATGTTGGGAAAGGGGAAAGGGTAAATGTAACAGATGGGGTATATTGCAGGATCAAAGCAGTTTTGTTTACATAAACTGATAATAACATGACTATCAGGATCCATGCAAATACACAGACTTGTAGTTATTAAGGCTGAGTTCCAGAAAAGACATCCCAATTATTTGCTCCCATACGTAGTCTAGAGAGATTGAGAAGGAGATAGAGATTTTGGTAAAACCTGAAAGCAACATAAATTCTGTCTCTGAGTCTAGGCAAACATTTTCCTCCTTTTGTTAAACAATACTGAAACCAAACTTAAATAATTTAGCTTCTCACTCCAGGAAATTCTTGCTCAGAAAGACAAGACTAATACAGAGCTTACTTCTCAGAACTAACATTCTGCTCAATGATTCTTTCAAGACCCTCACCTTGCTGTGCCAAGCTCTTCAACATTATTATATTATAATCTCTGTCAAATTAAAACCAGTGCCTTTCTTCACGAAGTCCACTCCAAAATCACTCTGGCCAGTCCAGAAAAGCCTTTCCTAATTTCCCTGTTTTGATATACTGCCAAGATTCTGTGAAGGGGGTGCTGTCCCTCTCTCTAGTAGGTTTAAATACCATAGCTTTGCTTGACTATCTTTTTTTTTTTCTTTGGTGAGCATTTGAGGAAAGACACTGGTAAATTTACAGGACCCTAAGCTTTGCAATGAGATTGTGCTCTTTCCCAAATGAGGACCATTGATTTTCTTAGGGAGTCTCCTGGTGGGATGCATATCTGCTATAGTTTCAGCTGGCTACTTTAGAGCACTACTAAGGTTGCTTATTCCCAGACTCCTTTAAATAAGTAGTGAGGATGATCAGGGTAACAGGGTGTATTTGTTCTTGCACTGTTATAAAGATATACCCAAGACTGAGTAATTTAGAAAGAAAAAAGTATTAATTGGCTCACAGTTCTGTGGGCTGTACAGGCTTCTGATTCTGGAGAGGCCTTAGGAAACTTACAATCATGGCAGAAGTTGAGGGGGAAGCAGGCACATCTTTATGAGGCCAGCAGGAGAGAGAAAGAGAGTGAAGTGGGAGGTGCTACATACTTTTAAACAATCAGATCTCATGAGAGCTGTATCATAAGACAGTACTAGAGAGATGGCAGCAAGCCATTGGAAACCACCCCCATGATCCAGTCATCTCCCACCAGGCCCCACCTCCAACATTAGGAATTATAATTCAACAAGAGCTTTGGGTGAGGACAGGGAACTAAACTATATCATAGGGTTACTTGTCTCACTTTAGTCTCTCGTGACCCCAATACTCTGAAGCTTCTCATCAGGCGCATGTATTATGCAGATTTGGGAGAAACCATGCAATGTTTGGTAACAATAGAAAATATATTTTCTGAGCAGAGTAGCTTTAAGGAAGGATAAGAGCTTTGAAGTTTTCATTGGCAATCTCCCCTAAAGAAGTGTACAAGTTTCTATATTTCATTTTAGCTCAGCCAATCTAGAGGAGAAATTCTTATAAATAGATGGAAAATAGTTCTGTTCACTTAGTAAGTTGTTTTAGTTGCATTAAAATAAAACAAAACATAAAACTAGAACTTGGGATTGGGGTCGAGCCAGCTGAGTCTTGAATTACTGTAATAACTGGGAACATTTTTTCGTATTATGAAACCTGTCACTTATACAATGTATTGGGCTTTTATAATAAAATATAAAATTACAAGGGATAAATATCTAGAAATTGTCCCAGATATTTTGAAGAAGCCTAGGCAAGTGATCGATTATGAAGATTAACTTTATTACTCTACAGAAAATTTCCTTAGAATTATCTCCATTATGCAGAAGTGAAGGAATACAAAGCCTGACATCCCAACAAAAAAAGAAAATTCAGCATGTCACAGAGAGCTGTCTGTTATATGAGTAAGATCAACCTTGTGAATCAAGATGCTGGTACTAGTATTTTTTTCAGGTGAACACTAAATTTAATGGCATTAAAAATATTAATCGAACTAGACATAACAAAAATGGTAGAGAGCTGCTAACAAGGGGTTGTAAGATTTATTCTATGCCTGTGTTTATTCCAAACCCAGTAACACCATTAATACAGGAGAGCTGCTGCATTATATTGAGCATATCAATTTATGCCATGAATGATGACTGCTGCTGCCAGGGTAGTATTAGTTCATAAGTTAATTCAGGGAGTAGTGTGACGATAAGGTTTTTTTTTACCACTACATTTATTTACTAAATACATATCCAATAGAGTAATGATATTCTCTTCTACAGCTGGGAAAATCATGGGTGGTTATTGGAGATTAAGTTCTTTTTGTCTTTATGTCAAGGTCACATATGTACCATATTTCACCAGTGGAGATGGTGAGATGTCATCTACTTACATAAGGAGCCAGATCATTGTTTTCCTGAAAAAATGAGATTTCACCTAAAAGTTTGAAAACGTATGTACCAATCTCTTCCTAAGTGTGACCCTCTAAAAGTGAGATGATGACTTCAAAAGACAGGGAATCTATTGCGTAGGCCTAAGAGTCATCACAACATTTTCATTATGAATGGGGTGTATGGCAGAATTGCAGAACCCTGGAGACAATAAGTAAGTTATCCTTTCATTGTATATGATAACCAGAAGTCATTGTGAAATTTAAAAAAAGACTCAAAAGTTGTACCTATGAGGTATCCTGACTAATACATAATTTTAGCCAGGATCTGGATGAAAAAGAAACTAAGCAGAAATTTATCAGTGTATGAACACTGCCAGTTCTATTAAATCACATAGACTTCAATTTTTTCTCTCTATTCTAAAAATTCGAGGTATCTGTGAATTTTATCAGGTAGTGAAGCCATTGCAGAGTATGACTGTATTCATCCTTTATGAGTTTCGTTGGAAAATTCCTTGGGTTAGCCACTTATGGACCTAATGGTGCCTGCTGCATTTGGGTGTAATTGGCAGGGAATAACTAGAAAATCATATATTGGGATTGGCAATAGCTAGGAAGAGCATTCAATGTTAAGATTGCATTAAGTATGTTTACATCTCATATAGATCATGTGATAGAAGTTGTCATTCAATGCCTTCATATCTATGCTAGTCACCCATTAAGGATATAGCACTTTATTATACTGAAACTGTTATATTGATTCACCATGGGAGTGGTAGGGAGTCGAATAAATTGTAAGCTGGTCAAGATTTATATGGCAATACGCTCAACTCACCTTGAGCCCCATGCCCACATATATGGAACAAGGTAAGGTTCTGTAAGTGTCATTATATAATCTTAATGTGTCCAGTAAATTTTTTACTGGGTATTCAATAATTTCATGTTACTTTTGTAACCATATTGGTTGTTGGCTTAGCTCTTTGAGTTACCAATCATATGGTTGTGCAATTCTAAGCATATTCTAGAAGCTATTCTGTATTGATAGTTCAGTTTTCAGATGTATATGTGTAACATCAGATCTAGTTTGTAATTTGATTTTGTACTTTACTTCATAATGGCATATGTTGTATGACAATGCTTTTACTAGTCTTATACTGTATGACCTAGAAACTGATTGTACTGCTAGGCTATTGCCAATATCCCATGATTAAAGATATATTTTATCATTTGCCATAGCCAGAATTAAGCCTACTGCACAAAATTACCAACACAAAACACTAGCAGTACTTTACTACTATTCTGATGGGTTGTTTAGGCATTCTTTTGGATTTTTCCCCACCACAAGTAAGAATGTTCCATAGGTGAACCTTGATTTTTTTTTTTTCACCTACTAAGTCTTGTAGGTGAAAATCCCCTTAAGCCAGAACTCCTTTAAGTTTAAATGAAGAATTTGCCAATGCCATATATTTTCCTCCTGGGTAAGTACAACTGTGCCAGTAGAGTTGGTTAAATTATCAAGGGATAGGTTTGTTCATTGGATACAAGATTTTTATTTCATTTTGAGTTTTCTAGGGTTTATCCCACCTTGTGGGATTTTGGCTTGAAAAATACTCCTGTTGATATTGAAGTATTGAATGAGGGAAACATTTTTCCTGTGTTGAGGTAATATTTTTCCACTAAGCCCAAGGAAAAGATTAAAAGTTAATGAAAAAAATATATGTAATTTTCAGAAGTAGAAAGAGTACTTGAATTCAAAAAATTGGACAGATTCATGACATGTTAATTTTGTCAGCTGAGACTGCATGAGATACATTACAATATGCCAATTTTCTTCATGGTGCCACCATCAGAATGTCATCAATATGATGGAATGTTTGAATCTCATTAGAAGTCCACATTGGGGTTGGTTTTTCTGAAATATTAAGGAATTTTTACTGAAAGATATCCTCATAGGAATAAAGAGAATTTACTTTCTGTCATGGAAGAATGGAGTAATATTCATCTTTTTATTGAGAAATTGGGAAAAATAAATGTATTGACAGTATGTGATGCCACATTTAATACCTAGTTAGTATATTTCATTTGATTCCCATGGTAGACAAAGTAATGTCCTCCCAGTTGTGTCACTGATTAATTATTAGAATGACTCCATATTTCACCTTATATGATGTGGGGGTTTAGCCAAATTAAAGACTTTGATATATGAAAATTATCTTGGTTTATCCTGGATTAGATGGTCCAATCTAATCATATAATCTAATCCATTCTGCAATCAATGATCCAATCCAGTTGTGGAATTTTAAAATTGGAAACCTTTTCCCAAATATGATAAGTGCTTTAACAATTAGGATAGTAACATAAGTGTAAAGTTTATAGGTAAAAAAACATTAGAGACCTATTATGATTTTTTAATCACTGGGAAAATATCAAAAGTACTTAATACAAATTGCATTATTTATTTATACTTAATAGTAAGGTAATCCAATCATTTATTAGTATATATCGACAAAGTGCATGCCATAATTTTTGTCCCTGAGTGATAAATACATTGGTTACACTAAAGAATATTCAAATAATTAAATGTATTATTTAACATGAACATGTATGCTTATACCAATAAAGCCCTAATAAGCATATATAAGCTGGAACATTTTTAGTATCCACCCTTATATCTTTTGCTTAGCAGAGTACAAGTCACCACAATATAACAATAGAGAGTTCATTGGTACTTCTTTCTTGAAATTCAAATTGAACAGTAAGACACAAGATAAATAATTGCAATGTACTATGAGCCTAAATATGATTTAAAAAAACACTAAACTAATTGACAGTTGACAAAAGGAATTTAACAAGGAGATATGAGGAAAGTTTCATGAGAGGACTTTTGAGAAAGTGCTGTTTTTTATTCTCTTTCTATTCCAAATTATCTACATCTCCTGAGTCAAGTTCTTGCTGGACCAGGAAGGGAGGCGCGTGAGAATGAGGGATGGGGTCTGTAGGGATCTGAGCACATGCACGCTATTTCAGTTTCTGCCCTGAGGCCCAGCAGCCCACAGACTAGTGTCAGAGAGCTCACGGAGGAAGATCAGAAAGCAGCAGAATATTCTCAAGTACACAGAAATAATTTTGCTGGATCCATCTGGAATCAGCAGAAAGCAAGGCATTATTTAAATTAGTAAGCACATACTGCCTGCTTCTGATAGAAAGAATTCAAGTAAAGCAGGGTTCAGATATAATTATTTCTCAATCTCCAGGGGTATAATTGTGGCCACTGTGCCAAGACATAAGTGGGAAAAACTACTTCATTTTCTGAGACTTGTCATAAGGTAATACAACAATGGGATCCCCATTAGGAAAAGAAAACTAACAATTGGTCTAAGTCCACAAAGACTAATAATTAATCAAATCAGAAGAAGAGGAAACAAATTAAAAATAAACTGAAGAGGAAAAAATTTAGAAGATTCAAACAAAATACACTTTTTTTGTTTTGATTCAAAGCATATTTTTTAAAAATCAATACCTAATGTGAAGTAATATTTGGTTGTTTATTATTAAGTCCCAAATTTGTGACCAGGAAGATCAAGAACAGATGTGTTCAAGCACAGAACCACAGTATAATAAGTTGTAAATTATGAGAGAAGAGATAGGAGAAATGTAGAATACATAACAAAACATTTTTAAAAAGTCAATAACACGAGTTTCAAAATAAAAAATAAAAAAAAATAAAAGAGGGGATAAAAATACAAAACCGAGAAGAAAACTATTTCAACTAAAAACAGTTTTGAACGTGCAGTCAAAAGGTCTTCCTGAGATTCAAGAGAACTCATCTGAAAACATGCACATGAAAAATATAGAGAAACAAATCTTCAATTCAAAAGACAGAAAAAAATAAGATTCTAATACAATATTAAAATATGTCAAATACAATATATGAGACTGCAATTTGGTTTCTCATTTGAAAACTAGATATGGAAAAATGTGAAAGAGAATTATAAGGCTTCTATAAGACATATACTGCCTCTCACTCCAAAATCCTAGAAAAATATAGATGATGGGAAGGGACAAAAGAATTTTTTTTGTTTTGCTATACATCCTGTGTTATATAAAGACAGACTGAATAGGTGACATGGGATGTGGGATAAAGTGTCTTGGCGGTAGAACTAGTGCAGCTTAATAGGCAAAATAGTGGGTATCTTGTTTGTAAAGGCAGTAAAGAAATCTGTGTCTTCTATGAGTCAGAAAAGAAAAATAATCATGAATAAAATCAGAAAGTATAATAGAGCTTTTCAAAGTAACAAACAGAAATAAATGAATAGCTATTTCAATAACAAATGAAAATGATGAAGAGTGGCAACAATTACTAAAATAGTTAAAAAATGCAACATTAAAACAAATAAATATAATTTTTAAAATTACCCATCATTACATTTGGCATGTATTGGCTCTTGTTAAAATATAAAGAATGCCAAATTGTTCAAAACTAAAAATGGAAAAATTATGTTTATTTATTTAGCATAATAAACATATAAAACAATGCCATCTAAAAAGTGTTATAAAACAAATTTATGGAAAATTCAGCCAGAGAATACAAAAAGGCAGTAGTGACAACAATATTAGAACAATATAGAATATGAATTAAAACATAACATCAAATTCATAGGTATATTATATATGACAATTTCAATTTGCAATAATTTGTTTTATGTGAGAAAATTGGATGTCTACTTTGAACAAACAGGAAAGATGAGATTCCATTTATGATTGCAAGCTTAATATGAATTTCTAAAATATAAAAAGTTTAGTAGATATAAACAATGTTTTCAAAGTTTAACAAATTAATAATAGTCATAACCTCTTAATGATTATGCTTTCTAATGTGTGTGTGTGTGTGTGTGTGTGTGTATTTGATGTTAAAAATGATCTATATACTTAGCCACAAGTATTTGTAATCTTGAATGACAGGTAATACATGATTTCCTAGAAAAAATGAGTTACATAAATTGGCCTAAATTAAATGGGAAACTGTAATACCCTAATTTAAACAGAGATTAGAAAACTGGTTAGAGATTTACATATAAAAATTTATCAGTATCAGATGGTAAACAGGTAACCTTAAAAGAACTTATAATTCAAATGCCACTTAAATTTATTCCAGGACTACAAAAGAGATTAAATTAGCAAAATTTCTTAATACAATTCAACACTACTAAAATTTTATATGCACAATAAAAATCAAACTAAGAACCAAATTCTGCTATAAATATTGATGCAAAAATTCTCAATAAAATGTTAGCAAAGTAAAGTGATAAAAGTGTACAGGCTAATCAATATTTTTAATATAAACGCATTTACAGCATTAAATTTATCAAAAAAATCTATTTTATTAAAGTTTAAGGCAATAAATAATATGCCTCCATCCACAGATGTTGAAAGGCAGTTACTAAACCCAGCATTCATACCAGATAATACTCCAGTAACATTGTAATATTATACAGGGAAATGGCCTTCAATAAATTATATTTGTGAAAAAATACTAAAATACCCAATTTGTCATATTCTCAAAATCCTATTATTTAAAGTCAGGAATTAGGCAAGATAACTGTCATCAATTACCAGAGACTTAAAAGTTCTATCTGAAGAAGTAAAGAATAAACACATACACACACACACACACGCACACGCACATATGCCCATACACACATAAAACACACATGAAAAATCTCCATGTATGCATTCAAATATGTACATATGATTGTACATAAAATGTTTTTTATATTTTATATTCCACTGATGTATTATATATTCAATTTTTATAAAATATGCCAATACTTTTTTGAATTAAATTGTAATTTTTTCAGTTTTACTGGTTCATAATTGTTAGATTTAACCATTTCTCAATGTAAACATTACAAAACATCATGTTGTTCATCTTAAATGTATACAATTTTACTTGACAATTTCATATCAATTAGAGGTGTAAAATTATGAGCATAATCAAGCTCATTAACATATCCATCACCTGACATAGTTACCTGTTTTCAATAGTGAGAACACTAGGATTCACACTTTTAGTAAATTCTTTTATGTACATTTAATTACATGTGTTTGAAAGCACACCTTTGAGTTTTTCCACAAATTCATTTTTAAATAACATTGTTATGAAACATATGCACTTATATGTTTCATTATAACTATGTGAATGGTTGCCTGGGTAAAAGTGATATGGACAATTGTTATGCTTAAGAAATCTGGGCATTGGGAGGCAAGAACAATGAAAACAACCAAAAAGGACTACTCAAAACATTGTAGCACATACTATATGATCCCCTTAAACATTTATGTAGCGTGTATATATGTCTTTATATGTGTATGAAAAACTACTAAAATATTTCTGAATTTTAAAGTTTTTTTAAAGGATTATTTGGTTTCCATGTTGGTGCATAAGTAGCATTTTTCCAGGTAGAAAAGGATTTGGAAGATATTGCAGGATGAAGAAATCCAAATTGAAAGATAGGTGAGTCAGTTTATTCAACAGTACTTTCAGTGTAACTTTGTGAATGATGTACTGCTCAGGTACAGGAATTACAATGATGCTTTCACAGAGCTCTTGTTTAGGAAAGAATTCAAGCAAGAAAAAAAATGCAATCACAATAAAGTAAAATAAGTGCTAGCACACAATAATAGTGGTAGCACAAGCTATAGAGCTCTCTAACCAACTGCACTATTTACTCATTAAAGAGGAGGAAATATTAAGCAAATTGGGTCAAATTCTTAGTACAAAATTAGTAGATACATTTTCAAAACTGGAGGTGACTATGTTATGACCCAGTGGTAGACTGAGAGTAGGGATGCCTATAGGGGTGTCCTTCACCATTTGTTCTCAGAATTTCTTCAACAATTCGTTGAGTGTTTATTCTACCAGACAATATGCTGAGTATTTCTGGTAAAATGGAAAACATTTTGCTCTTGTTTTATTGCTCCTTTTAACAATATAGTGCTCTCAAAAAGAGATGTATCAGAAACACATAAAAATACATAAGCGGTGAAAAGATAACATAAAAGTAAATATAATGATAGGAATAATGGTGATGGCCATCAGGTGATGATAGGAGAATTCTCTACTGTGGGGTTATTTAAACTGAGGCATGAAGGATGCCAGGTAGCTAAGGTAGTTGAAATTACTGGAAAAAGTATTTTAGAAAGAGAAAACACATGCTCTGTGGTCAGAAAGACATTCTTTGCTTAATAAAGTGAGAGAGATCAGGGTATATGGAGTATGGTAATTGAAAGAAAGAGGGAAAGATGAGGTGGGAGATTCTGTTAGTCAGGGTGTGTCTAGAGAAACAGAAAGTAGCAAAAGGATAAAACTACACACACACACACACACACACACACACACACACACACACACACACAAACATGTGTGGGGTCCTCAAAAAGTTCATGGAAAATGCATATTAGGAAAAGCAATGCATGAAATTTAACATTTTTTGGACCAAAATAAAGCCATCATAATTTGTTATAACATATCTGAATAAGATCTAGGTTAAAGCACTAAGAAGGATAAGAAAACAGTTTGAAAAGAGTCTCTATCAGAGCCTTTTGAAAACATTGATCTTGTTCATACCATAATTGAAGAGGGCCCGTGATTAACAGCAGAAACAAGAGCCAACACTATAGACATCTCAACTGGTTCCACTTACACAATTCTGACTAAAATTAAAGTTGATCAAACTTTCCATTCAATGGATGCCAAAACTGTTGCACTCGATCAGCTGCAGACAAGGGTCAAGATTTCAATGGAAATGTTCAAGCAAGCAGGATCAAGATTCTGAAGCATTTCTCCAAAGCACTGTAACAGGAGTTGAAACATGGCTTTCCCTGTATAATCCTGAAGACAAAGCAGAAATGAAACAATGCTCTGTGGTAGGAAGCGGTTCAATGGGTAGATGAAAGTGACCCAGTCCAGGCAAAAGCTGACTGGTCAAAAAGCAAAGGTCATGGCAACAGTTTTCCTTGTTTGTTTGTTTAAGATACTGAAACCTCTTGCTTGTTGACTTTCTGGAGGCCCAAGACAAAATAACATCTGCTTATTATGATAGTGCTTTGGGAAAGTTAGCCAAAGCTTTGGCAAAAAAATGCCCAGGAAATCTTGACCAGAGTCCTTCTCTGCCATGACAATGCTCCTGCCCACTCCTCTTATCGAATAAGGGCAATTTTGTGAGAATTTCAATGGAAAATCATTAGGCATGGTATTATCCATTTTCATGCTACTGAGAAAAGACATACCTGCAACTGGGTAATTTATAAAGAGAAAAAGGTTTAATGGACTCACAGTTCCACATGCCTGGGGAGGACTCACAATCATGATGGAAGGCAAGGAGGAGCAAAGTCATATCTTACATGGATGGTGGCAGGCAAAGAGAGAATGAGAGCCACGTGAAAAGGGAAACCCCTTATAAAACCATCAGATCTCTGAGACTTATTCGCTATCACAAGAAAAGAATGGGGATAAAGCACCCCCATGATTCGATTATCTTCCACTCTCTTCCTCCCACAACACTTGGGAATTATGGGAGCTACAATTCAAGATGAGATTTGGATGGGGACACAGCAAAACCATATCAGGCACCTATCTTATAGTCATAATTTGTCTTCTTCTGACTTCTTTTTGTCTCTTAATCTTAAATTATCTTTAAAGTAACTCGTTATTTTTTAGTTAGTTATGTAAAAAAGACTGCATCGACATGGTTAAATTCTAGGATTCTTAGTACTTTATGAATGGACCAAATGGCTGGCATCATTACTAACAAAAGTGTGCTGAACTTGATGGAGCTTATGTTAATAAATAAAGTTGATATTTTTTCACTTTTTGTCTTTTAATTCCATTTTTCCGTAAACATTTTGAAGTCCTCATGTGTGTGTTGGCGAGGGGTTGGGGGATGCGGGGTGGTGGGTGTATTATCAGGGATCTGCTCACTTAACTATGGAGGCTGAGAAGTCCCACAATTCATCTGCAAGATGGAGACTGAAAGCCACTGATGAAATTCATTCCTGGTCTGGAGGTCTGAAAAGAAAGAGAACCATTGGTGTAAATCCCAGTTTTAGAGGAGGAGATAAAATGTTCCAGCTCAAGCAGTGAGGCATGAAAAACAAACATGGGAATGTTATTACTCCCTTCTCCATCTTTTGTTTCTGCAGACCCTCGAATGGTTGGATGATGCCTACCCATATTGTAGCGTGAGATCTGCTTTACTGATTCCACACATTCAAATGCTAATATCATCCAGAAACACCTTCACAGATATACTCAGAAATAATGTTTAATCTGGGCATCCTGTGGCCTAGTCAAGTTGGCACATAAAACTAAACATCAGAGAGAGAGACAGGCAGGATATCAGATCATGCAGGGCATAACAGACCTTTTTAACAAAAGGGCTCCAGGAGTCAAGTTTTTCTCATCAAACACAATAGGCAGTGATTACATGGTATTAGATTTATTTTAAATGAGTGGCATCTGTTGGGTTTTTGACCACGTTAGGCACTTCAATTATATAATCTCAGCATTTAAGTGCATAGAACTAGTCAAGCTAAAATTAAAATATTGATTTTTTGAGATATCTGATTCATCTAGTAGGAAATTTGATATTATAGGACCCACATCACAAATATAACTTTTGGAATGCAAATTTAAACACAAATTTGTATCATAATCAATTTGATAAATATTTTCCCACCATTGTTTTTCAGCAACTTGGATACAGATGGGAATAAGGTAGAGGTGAGATAAGATTCATCCAAATGCTTGATGCAGAAAATATTTGAGCAAGTTTTCTACAATTGGCAAGAGATTGGATGAAGAAATAGGCCACATAAACATATAATACAAACTAAATTGAGAAATAAGTGAGACAGGAAAGAATGGAAATTCCTGTGAGGCCATCTACAAATGTGGTGAATATAGGTAAGGGAAGTCATAAAGTATGTGATTCAAATATGGGATATTCAGTTTACAGTCTGATATGCAGCAAGTCTAAATGATGACAAAATCTATGATAGGCCATAGGAATGCATTGATAAAGTAAATTGAAGATGGATATTCACCAAGACGAAGATGTCAAGAATATTAACATTGCAGTGTCTCCAACAATGAATGTAGGATTTGGAATAGGAAGAAAGACAATTATCCTAGTGATAGGCATCATAAAATAATAGTCAAAAACACAGACAGCCTGAATTTGGATCTTGATTTCAGCGCATACTAAGTGGGTGACCTTAGAAAAGTTAACTTCTTTGTGCCTTAATTATTTCATCTGTTAAATGGGCAGAATAATAGTACATATTGTATGTAGTTGCTTTGACAATGACAGAATAATGTAAAGGACAAGAATGTCCAGCCTGTAAGAAACCCTATAAAGTGTTAAATACATAAAAAAGCTTATGAAGGGTTTCCAGAAGAGCAGCTAGTTTAGTCTGACTGCAGCAGAGTGAGCAGGTGTGCAGTATTGAGTGTATAAGAAAATACAGTGAGACTAGGGCTGGAAAAAGCATGTTGATTTCTATTAAACATGGGAGAGAGCTAGAGAGAGAGCATGAAGCAGAGGTAAAAGAAAATACAGTGTTATCAAGCCAAGGGAGAAGAGATTTTCAAGGACGTGAGTTTTGCTCTTCACTTGCACTATGATAGAAGCAGAAGCTCTGAAACTTATTTGTCCCTTTTGCTGTTAAAAGCTGCTCTAAGATTTGATGCCAAGCAATAGTTTTCAAGGTACTGCCTCAATAAATTGTTTACTCCATTAGCTGAATTGTTAAATTTAAAACAAAGCTGCATTTTAGAATATGCTATTATGCAAGTAATTTAAGTGTATGCGTGTGTGTGTCTGTGTGTGTGTGTGCACACGTATTAGTTAAATTGGCTTCTCCGTTGATCCTTAACAGACAATACTGGACTTTATTTTGTTACCTAGGTGATAAATGAAACTGAAGTAACATCCAGACAGAGCACTAGTAGTCTTAATGATATGGTTACTTTATTAAAAAATACAATAGAAAGGCAATTTTTTGACAATAAACTTGGATGAAAGTGGAGGCATGAAAATGTTAAAAATACTCTTACAGCTATATCTTATGGTATGATGTGTTGCCTAGGGAGCTTTGCATTAGCAAGTCACAACAGAAAACAATGCAGAAGTGGAGTATATGTTTTGAAATTCTAAAAAAATTAATAAATTTGCAGTACTTATCTGATTGACAGGAACCATTCCTATTTAATAGGAGAGGCAGATTACTTGGCTAAAAACCCTGTACAGTAATTGGACTATTATTTTACACAGAAGACTATTTTAAGATGAACAGGACATTTAACTTTTCCTAATTCTCCCAAACATGTTGATTAAGATGGAGATGGATATTTACAAATGTTTATAATATGGTAGAAATATTCTTCCTGATAAATATTAATCTTTCTTCATTTTTTAAAACTTCTATTTTGTATTTTTACATCATTGATTGAGGGAACCACATAGTGTGAGAATCTCTGGATATTGCTGACACATGCACAAGTATTCATCATTTCTCCCCACTGCCCAGGTTCAACAGAGAATGAATACTGGTTTAGTTGAATCAATTAAATATCTGGTTATTAAGTATTTATGGATGGAAGGCACATAGGTGGAAGTTGAATTCTCCCTTTTTCTTCCAAATTAATTCAGGTATATCCCTCATATTTTACAATGAATACCTCCTTTCCTTTAGGCGATAAGCTTTGTTTTCTCCTGCCCTATTTAAAACACAACTTAAACAGTTTTTGACATTCCATTATGGGGATAGACCAGGAAGGACTTGTGTCTGAAATATGTAAGACTATGTAATAGAAATCTAGGGTGGAATTTTAAAATATATTGTATTGCAGTTTTCAGAAACAAGATTGGTATGTACTGACATATATTACAACACAGATGAACTCTGAAAACAAGTGAAAAATGACAGTCAAAATATACCAGATATTGTATGATTTCATGTATATGAAATGTCCATAATAGACAAATTCACAGATCCATGGTTGCCAGTGGCCAGGTTGAAAGGAAATTTAAAGTGACTGCTAATAGATATACTCTTTCTTTTGGGGTGATATACTGTTTCTTTTGGGGTGATAAAAAATATTCTAAAATTAGATAGTGGTGATGTTCCCACAGCTCTGTGAATATATATTTTTAAAAACCTAATTTATATACTTTAAAAGAGTGAATATTATAGAATGTGAGTTATATCGTTAAGGTATTATTTAAAAATTTTAAACTATTAACTGCTATTAATCTTATTGTCATTTAACTGTTTTAGTAACAAATTATAATTGTACATATTTATGGGGTACATGCTATGTTTTAATACATGCATACAATGTGTAATGATCAAATTAGGGCAATTAGGATATTGATCACTTCATACATTCATGATTTCTTTGGTTGAGAACATTTTAAACCTTTTGTTATAGCTATTTTGAAGTAGAACATGGGGTTTTATGTATATTATGTAAATATGACACATATATTTACAATGTATCCAAACTGTCTTTTAAAATTGTTTATCTTTAAATATATTTTTCTTTTGTTAAAGATAAATAACACTGGATGGGTTAGAGGGGCTGGGGAGACTTTTTTCAAGATTATTGAAATAAGAGATTGAACCCAACCAATGAGAGGCTGGGAAGTTTTAACTAGTGGGGTAAGCTAGTAGAAAGTCCTGAGGGATGTTAGTGGGGAAGATTAATATGCCATCTGTGATTGCTAATTCTGCTCAGTGAAGCTAGGCCCCTACCCTTCCACAGAGACTGAGAGATAGGGGCCCTATCTTTCTTGATGATTACCTATTAATGGGATGGTTCCTTGAGAAATACTTCTGAGTTGTAAAACTGGCAAGAGACTGGGAGAAGATTTACATTTCAAAGGGGCAGAGAAAGAATTTACAATTCCAAGTTTTCTAAAATGAATACTCGAAGAAAAGAGAGGTTAGGAGCCTATACTCAGGAAGAAAGCTGTCTAAAGTTTAGTCAAGCTGAAGAGAATGTTTAAGGTCATCGTGTTCAGGAAATATTTAAATCCAAATGTTTATTGGGCTATTGATGATTTGCAAATAAGATCAAGAATCATAAACAAACAGGAACAATTCCATTGTCTTAGTGTCTGGCTGTGAGCAATTTTTCTCCGAGCTGTTTTTAATACTGGCCAAGAAATGAAACACTGCAAATAAAAATTAAGTAATAAAATGAACTTCACAATAAAGCACTATTCAGAATAAAAAAGAATGAGATCCAGTCATTTGCAACAACATGTATGGAACTGGAGATCATTATATTAAGTGAAATAAGCCAAAAGACACCAAAAAGACAAACATCACATGTTCTCACTTATTTGTGGGATTTAAAAATTAAAACAATTGAACTCATGAATGGTGAGAGTAGAAGAATTGTTACCAGAGGCTGGGAAGGGTAGGATGGAGATGGAGGAGAGTTGAGGGGGAGATGGAGGAGAGTTGAGGATGTTTAATGGGTACAAAAATAACAGAAAGAATGAATGAGACCTAATATTTGATAGCATAATAAGGTGACTATAGTCAATAATAACTTAATTATATATTATAACTTAGAGTGTAATTTGATTGTTTGTAACTCAAAGAATAAATGCTTAAGGGCATGGATACTCCATTCTCCATGATGCGCTAATTTTACATTGCATGTCTGTATCAAAATATCTCATATACTCTATAAATACATACATCTACTATGTACCCACAAACATTAAAAAGAAAAAAAATGAACTTCAAATTTGGGAAGATACTGACATGGAAATTTGGAAAAAATGCAGATGAATTAAGAAAATAAGACAAGATTAAAAAGCTGTGACTACACAATAACCAGTAACTCTTTAAGATATTTTATAAATAAAGGGGAGGAAAAAATAAAGAAGGAGTAGATTGGATGTGACTAGTTTATATAAGCTTTAAAAGGATCAAATAGTTAAGTGACATGATAGTAAATAATGAATAAATAATATTGGAAAAATTTGTGAGATTTCATTTATTTAATCCAACAACATATATAACTAAGTAAAGCTACAAAATATGCAAAGTGAAAGATTTTCAAAGATTACATGAGAGTTTAAAAAGTAATATTCAAATGCATAGATGGATGGAAAAATAGAAATATGGATGCATGTGTATAGATAGTTAAATATTTGTAAATCACTGTTTCTTTTCCATGCACACATGAGTAAATGCTTTAATTCTTTACCAGCAAATTTTCCCCTGCTTTTACTTTAATCCAAACAATATATGCATATATCTTCATAGAAAAAATATGCACATATTATTTAATGATAGGCCCAGATTTTTATAATACTATACTTAAAACACTGGAGAAAACAAGTGTTCAGTCAATTCTAAATATGCTTAAAAATAGTACAACAATTATTAGGAGGCTGAGGCAGGTGGATCATGAGGTCAGGAGACCGAGACCATCCTGGCTAACACGGTGAAACCCCGTCTCTACTAAAAAATACAAAAAATTAGCCAGGCATGGTGGCGGGTGCCTGTAGTCCCAGCTACTCGGGAGGCTGAGGCAGGAGAATGGCGTGAACCCGGGAGGTGGAGCTTGCAGTGAGCCGAGATCACGCCACTGCACTCCAGCCTGGGTGACAGAGTGAGACTCCGTCTCAAAAAAAAAAAAAAAAAAAAGTACAACAATTAAATAAAAATAACACTAGATATCTAAGTTCTTACAAGTATTAATTTGTTATCTGCCCATACAATGATAGTAACAATACCAGTAGCCATAGTAGTGGTAGTAATACCATTTCTATTACAGGTATCCTAGCATTAATATCAGGTAGATAGAAACAGGATCTTAAAAAAGAAAGTCCTGGGGAGATCATTATACTATCTGTCAACCTAATAAAAACAAATTAAATTGTAAAATTACCTAATCTGGTGAAAATTAGGTTGACATATTTGCATTAGGAAGTGGTAAAGCTTGATAAAGGGTGAAACGTTGGATACAATTTTACTGTGTAATGCAGAATTTAGCAGACTGATCAGCACTCACCCAGTTTGTCCCAAATTCTCACACTCTTTATCAAACTCATCACACTCCCAACAGCCTTCACCTGTATCTCTTTTTAAGAAAGTTCCCACAGGCTTCCAGAAGCTGTTTTGCTGGTGCTTGAAGAGTCACAAGTACCTGGGAATTCACATTTCTCCAGCAGAAAGCAGGTAGAATAATCCAACGCCCTTCCCTTTATTAAAGTTTACTGGGGATGTGACTCACACTTACCCTAGAACACTTCTACATAATTTAGCCCAAATTATACATTGTTGGACTTTGCCTGGTCTGATACCACATTCTTGTTTAATCTTCTTTCCTACCTTGTCTGACTCCTCATTCCTTTACCAGCTTTCCCAGGGAAAACTTAAAAAAATCACACTCTATGAATTATCATCTCATGTTCTTGTGAGAATTGCTGTCTATGATAATAGGCAATGCTACTATAAAATATCTTGGGCAAATTTCCTGAGAGTGATGTGATATTATAGTGACAATAGGTTTTAAAGGTGGAAAAATAATATTTTAAAAAAATATAAATATTCTGAAATAACATTAAGGAAATTAAAATGGACTCAGTATGATGATTATTTCATTTTCAAAGACATAGTTTAAATAATAGCAGGTAGATGGCGTAAATACAGATGATGCACTTGTTTAAGCTCTACCAAAATTGGTTTAGACTCCCTGTTCTGAGTGAATTTATAATTAGATATTTTGATTGAAATCACTACACATCAAGCAATTGAGTTCAATAATAGGGTCAAATATTTTAAGTCTCATTTTATTTTCTATATATAGCCTTGCCAGATTCTGCCTTCACTGCCTGAAGGTAGAGGTGTCTCCTCTGACAAATAACATTAGGTACCTAAAATAGGCAAGTCAGTCTTCTGAGGGATAGGAAAATGGAGGTTTTGTTTTCATCAGCAGCAGATAAACTACTAGAAGCAAAATAGGCCAACCATTGTTGCAAGGCAGGGAACATTCTGACTTGGATTTTTATAAATATGTAACTTAACATTATGCTTACGTGAACATACATGAATAAGAACTTTTGGCAAAGAAACAGTACAAATCATTATTATAAAACAAAGACCTCTAAGAAAGGCAATGACATTTCTCACAGCAGTATTTAAATTTGTTGTACTTTCTCCAGAAAAAAAAAATTGTTGTTTCCATGTGTTTTCTATAATAAGGCTAGACATTACTTACAAGAAACATTATTATTGCATAGTAGTTCAGAGCTTGGACTGTGTGGTAAGACATTATAGGTAAATGTATAGATATAGATATGTATATAGTTATAGATATAATATAGAGATCATGATGGTGATCATGATTGTAAGAATTAAAGAAAGAGGAAAGAAACACAAAAGGTGGCTGGACAGTCAAGGATAGGTTTATTTTAGAGAAAACAAACCTAAGATGGGCTTCTGACCGAGTTAGGTTAGAGCCCACTCTTTTACAGGTTAAGAGTTTTTAAGGATTCGAGGTGGGAGAGTTTATCAGAGGCTTGGACTGCTTCTGTGTCTCTTTGTTGTGCTTATCTGGGAGGGAGAGTTTTGTGTCTGTTTCCATAAATCTTTCTGCAGCTGCAGGCATACTCCCTGAGTCTGCTTTTAGCTTCACTATCTTAGTGCACCTGAAGGGAAAGGAATGTGCTTATAAAGGCCCACTGTTTTACTGGGGCCCATTGTATGAGGGTGAAGTTTGGCAGTTACCCAAGAGACTTCCTCCCCCGACACCCCCCACCCCTGCCACCTCCTCTGTGCCCAAGCTGTCTCATCTGTGTTTTACTGTCTGCTCTTTCTGGCTGCTTGTAGTTAGAAGAGAATTGATTTCCTTGAAATCCATGAGGCTAGGAAGGGAGCTGGAACTTAAAGTGGCAGTGTTTATTTGAGATGATGGTACTCCTGCTCTGTCAATGATTACAACAACAGTAAGAAGAGTAATATTTTGACAGTAATCTTCAGAGAAGAAAGCTATAAAGTATGAGATATGGCATTAAGAGTAGAAAGAGACTATAACATATTCCATATTTTGGGAGTATTTTACTAAAAAAGTATATTTGGGGAATGGGAACTCGATAGAGTTTGCGCATTAGTTGTTAAAAGATGACCAAAACAAGGATATTTTTCTAGAATGTACTTAAAATAATTTCAGGACTATGCCCATGAAGTCATGTGAATGATCATAATGAAGCTTCCAAATATTCCATGTTTCAAAAGGATTATATTAAAAAGTTCTTCATTGGAGTCTTTAAGATGAAAGGACACGTTTCCACAACAGTTTTATTGATTCACTTCCAAGCTGGCAAACAATTTATGCATAAAGACCTCCAGAGTAAACTCCAAGACATTCCTTTCAGGCAAGTAGTTCTTTAAAATGGTCTTTACAATAACGTTTCATATAATCATTTATATTATTCTGTAGAATTAAAAAAATTTTAAAAATGATACAAAACCTTAGCGGCAGACTAGATCTGAACAATGTGCCTTCTCTTAGGGATTTTTTTTTTTTTTTTTGAGACAGAGTCTTGCTCTGTTGCCCAGGCTGGAGTGCAGTGGCGCAATCTCTGCTCACTGCAAGCTCTGCCTCCCAGGTTCACGCAATTCTCCTGCCTCAGCCTCCCAAGTAGCTGGGACTACAGTCGCCAGCCACTACGCCCAGCTATTTTTTTTTCTTTTTTTTTTTTTTAGTAGAGATGGGGTTTCACCATGTTAGTCAGGATGGTCTCGATCTCCTGACCTCGTGATTTGCCCGCCTCAGCCTCCCAAAGTGCTGGGATTACAGGCGTGAGCCACCACGCCTGGCCCTCTTAAGGACTTTATAGAGACCAAGAATAATACAGAAGAAAAACAGGCCAAATATAATTGAATAAAGCAATGCCAAATATATGGATGCCCAGGATTTACATGCCTTTGCTCTTCCGAATGAAAAAATTCTTAAATTTCCAAAGTCAAGGCAAATTCTATTATTTATCAGTATTATTCAGGTTATAGACCATATTTACTGGGGCTAGATGGAAAGACAAATGAGCCACAATTTGGAAGTTAAGTAAAAAATGGAAAATGAGAGAATACTGCATTAGTAACATAAAATTTTTCAAGTTCCTAGTACAGTTAGAAAATAGTTGTAGCTCAATAATACTGTTGATGTATACTATATTTTCTTCTACCATTATAATTGAAGATGCAGAATTATGAAATAGTGATATTTCTTGGGCATATTTCAAATACGTGGGATATGTTTGATATATATTTACATAGTTTATAATTTATTATGAAGGAATTATATTTTATATTTCTTATAATTTAGTAAAAAGTATAGTTGAGATAGGTTTCCCATAATTATATTAATGATTCTAAATATTAAAAATGTTAAAATAAATCAAGAATTAAACTAGAAATATTAAATTTCTTTTCAGATATTTTTACATAGTAGCCTATTGCATATCACTTAAATGATTCCAGGTATATTTTAATTATTTCTAAATTGCAATTACCAGCTATGATTAAGAGGAGCTGATACTGGCTTGCCTTTCCACCTGATATAAGTAGAAAATCGGAAAATTACACATAAAACAACTGTTTTCAGCTATTGTGCAATAAGGAGTCCTAGAATGTGATCCCTGAGAATAGAAGTAACATATCTCATATGCATATACCTGTTCAAAGACTTTTACCAAGTAATGAAAAGAGAAAGGAACATATAAAAAAAACCCCACAAATGTATCTTCTAGAGATGAAATTAGGAAAAAAATAACAATGCATTGAACAAACTTAAAAACAGATTAGGCACTTCAAAAGAAAAGATTAATGAAGACATCAAAAGAGTATCGAATGGAATAGAAAATAGAAAACTTTAAAAATGGACAAAGCATCTTCAAACAGTGGGAAAGTAAGTATAACCATATGTCCTATATGTCAACATATAACAGAATATATACTTTATGTATGTGCAATTCATTATGTCATTTATACCTCAATAATGCATGTTAAAATAATATATAATAAAATACATAAAATTTAAAAGTATAAGTAAATGTAGATATGGTAGAAATCAAAATAAGTGTAAGCATGGTAAACAATATTAATATATGTATACACACATTTATATTTCATATATATATACAAACATAACATACATATCACAAAATATTTAATGATTTAGTTACCAAAATAATTCTAAATTTGATAAAAATTGTTAACGCATTTATACAGGTATCTCAATCAACTCCAAGCAGGATGAACGCCACAAAAATCTTTTTGGCATATCATAATTGAAATACTGAAAACCAAAGATAGAGATAAACCTTAAAAACAGCTAGAGGACAAAAAGTGTAGGTATGCTGAATGTTAAGAATGACTGCAAGCTTCTCCATAAACAAATTGCAAGAGAGAAGATCTTGGAATTAAATTTCGAGTAAGAAGGGGTAGATTTCTTTATTCAACAAAAATATCCTTCAGAATTAAAGCACAACAATTTCGTTTTTAAACAAAATGTAAACAATTTGACATCAGGATTATTCTTCAAATTTTAGGTAAATTCAACTATCATTTGAGAAATCAATGGGATTTGTAGATAATTAAGATACATGTATCATGAAAAATTATATTAAGACACTTGAACTAATTGATTTTATAAAACATGCTGACCCCAAACAGAAAACTGTACATTATTTCCCTAATACCTTATACATTCACCAATCTACTTTATCGTCTAGGTAATAAAACAAAACACAATAGAATTTAAATAATAGAAATTATACAGATTATATTTTCTGATCACAAGTTAAATTATAAATCAGTAGATTAATATATGTGAGGCCACAAAATATTTGCAAATTGAACAACACAGATTTTTTACAAACCTCACAAATTAACAAAAACAGTGAAGAAATATTAAAATTTATAAATTAAATGATAAAACACAGTATGTCAAAATTGGTATGAACTACTTCATATCCACAAGGTAACCTGTACCTTTTATGACATTAATGGATAGGATATGATAAAATCAATGACTTAAGCCTTCTCCATAATTATATTTTAAAAGAACAAATTAATCTCCGAGTAAGTATAAGAATGGAAATAGACGCAGAAATTATTGAACAAAATATAGAATATATCAATAAAATTAAAAACTGCTTTTAAACATAATAAAAACAATAAACATCTAGATATACTGATGAATAAAAACAGTGAGAGAACTCACTAATTACCAATATTAAGAATGTTATGAAGACATTATTAGAGAACCATAAGCAACTTAGAAAAACTGAACAAATTCCTTGAAACCACTCTTTCTGAAACCCGGCAGAAAAATAAATAGAAAACATGAATAGGTTTATATTACTTAAAGAAATGCATTTACAATTAAAACTCTTTAAAAAAGAGAAGATTATAGACATGGTTTGCTTCACTGATATACCTAAAATCAAAAATAATGATAATAATAATAATCCATTCTGTATCAGTCTGTTAGGAAACAGAAGATGGGGCACTTACCAATTTATTTTCAAGGGCATAATTTTAAAACAGACAAAACATATCTATTTTCCATGAATACATATTCAAAAATTCTTAAATTTTAATAAATGCAATTAGCAAAATATAAAAAGGATAGTGCATCATAAGCATGTGTGGTTTATACCAGGGATGTAAGTTTGTTTTAACAACAGAAAATATTTTAACACACCACACTCGTAGAAAAACAAATGGAGTAAACTATTTTATCACTTCAATAGATGCCAAAAAAGTATTTTGCAAAATGCAATAATTATTTAAGTTATAAATTCCAACCAAACAAGAAAGAAACGTTTTTAACCTGATAGAGAGTTTCCACAAAAGACTTACATGTGTTATACTTAATGAGGAAGGACTGAATGAGCACCCCTCCACACACCTGCGATTGGTAGCAAGGTAAGGATTTTCACTCCCATCACTTTTATTCCATTTTGTAATGAATACAAAGGTAAAATTTTACTCCCTATTTCTCCCCCACAATCCCTGGCCAGCACCATTTTATTTTCTGCTTCTCTGATTTTGACATTTTATATACCTCATAAGTATATTAATAATGCATAAGTACGATCATGCATTATTTGTCGTTCTATGATTGTCTTATTTATTTGGTATAATGTTCTCAAGGTTCATCCCTGTTTTCTTATATGAAAAGATTTCCTTCTTTTTAAAGGCTAAATAATACATTATTATACGTATATACCACATTTTCTTTATTCATTCATCTGTCAGTGAATGTTCAGGTGATTTCTATTTCTTTGCTGTTCTGAATAATGCTACAATAAACATGAAACTGCAGATATCTCTTGAGATACTGATTTTAATTCTTTTGGATAAATAGAAGTGGGATTGCTGGAACATTTTTGAATGTTATTTTTAATAACATTATTAAATAATTTTTAAAGTTTTGAAGAAACTTCATAGTCTTCCATGTCGATTGCACCATCTTACATTCCCACCAACACTGTACAAGGTTTCCAACTTCTCAAAGTCATCAACACTTGTAATCTTTTGTTTTTATTATAATGGCCATCCTAACGAGTGTGAGATATCTCATTGTGGTTTTAATTTGCATTAGTCCTTTTTCTACACATTAATAATCAACCATTCAAAATGAAAATTAAGAAAATCCCATTTGCAATAGCATTAATAATAATAAGACACAGGAATAAACTTACAAGAAGTGAAAGCTACAAAGCTTAGTTGAAAATAATTAGACACAAATAAATGGAAAGACATACATGTTCATGGATTGAAAGACCTGATATTATTAATATTTCCATACTGCTTAATACAGCCTACAAAGTCAATGCAATCACTATCAAAATTCCAAAAACATTTTTACAGAAATAAACAAAAAAATTCTAAAATGTGCATAGAACCACAATGGACCCCAAAAACTTGAGAAAAATAGAGCAAAACTGAAGGCATCATGCTTCCTGATTACAAAATGTATTGCACAACTACACCACTACAATAATGAAAACAGTATGTTACTGGCATAAACACAAACATATAGACCAATGTAACAGAATAGAGAGCTCAGAAATAAACCCACGCATATACGGTCAGCTGATCTTCCACAAGGATGCCAAAAAAGCACAATGGGGAAAAGGTAGTCTCTTCAACAAATGGTGCGGGGAGAACTTGATGTCTACACACAAGAGAATGAAACTGGACCCTTATCTTACACCATGCACAAAAATTAAAAGGAATTCAAGAAAAATATAAGACTTAAAAATGTAAAACACCTAGAGGAAAACAAAAGAAAAAGTTTCATAACCTTGGTGAATTAGGCCATTTTTGCACTGCTATAAAGGTATATCTGAGGCTGGATCATTTATAAGCAAAAGAGATCTAATTGGCTCACGTTTCTGCAGGCTGTACAAGCATGGCACCAACATTAGCTCAGCTTCGGGGAAGGCCCCGGAAAGTTTACAATCATAGTGAAAGGTGAAAGAGGAAGTAGACAAATCACATGGGAGGAGGAAGAACAAGAAGCAGGGGGAGGTGACACACACTTTTAAACAACTAGATTTCAAGTGAACTCTGAACTCACTCTTCACCAGGGGAATGGTGCTAAGCCATTCATGAGGGATCTGCCCCCCGATCCAAGCACTTCCTAACAGCCCCCACTTCCAACAATGGGCATTACATTTCAACATGAAATTTGGAGGGGACAAATATCCAAACCATATCAATTGGTCTTGAAAATAATTTCTTCAATATGACACCAAAATCACAAGCAACCAAAGCAAAATTATAGGCAAGTGGAACAATATCAAACTCAAGAGCATCTGTTCCACAAAGGAAATATTCAACAGAGTGAAGCACAACCTATCAAATAAGAAATATTTTCAAACCATATATATGCTACGGAGTAAATATTCAAAATATGTAAAAAATTCACACAAGTCGATGGCAACAAAAGCCATAATCTAATCAAAAATGGACAAAGGGTTTGAATAGACATTTTTTTCTAAAGAAGATACAGAAATAGCCAACAGGAATTACCATTTATACGAATAAAATTTAAAATGGTATGCTTTTGGGAATGACTTTGGAACTTAAATGAATAAATAAGCCTTAAGAGGTATTTAATAAATGTGTCATCTTGGGAAAATAAAGCTGTTTGTTCTTAGGAAAATGTAACTTTAAGCCAAGAAAATTACATATTATAATTTAAAGACTTACTTACATATTTACTATGAGTCCATGGGATCAGAGTAAATAAACTTAAGATTTCAGATCTAGTATTCTAACATAATCTTTTAAATATTTTTCTTTTGAAATATCAAATAATATTACATAATATCACAAATGGCTTTAGTATTTAATGAAGAGAAAGGAAATCATGCATGACATCATAGAAAGTAAATGTAAATAAATAATACAGGTATCACTCACCATACAAAATGAATTTAATATATTTTAGTTATTACAACAGGAGTTTTAGTAATAGAAATCAAGCCAAAGAAATAAAAAGTAATAACCCTGGCTTCATTCTTTTAAGATCATTACATTTTGCAAATCATGTACTTTAAAAAAGAAATAGTTTACATTCAGCTCCATAACCATTTAAAATTTTTACCTTGACTGAGATTTTTGTTATATTGTACACATAGACAAGAGAACCTTTTAATTTACCTGAAGCACTGATAATTCCATCTGTAATGTGGACACATCTTTTGAATAAACAAACTAAAAATAACAATAACAAAACAAAGCACACCATACCTACACACCGCCAAATAAATACACACACACTGAACACTGACACTGAGACCAAGATAGACATTAGGATATTTTCTTCTTAATATAAACAGTTAGCATAGTTTGTAGGGCCATGATTAAAAAAAAACACACAAAGCAAAATATTTCCTAATTGAAAGCATGCCTTGAAAGGTTTTAATCCCTCCCTAGATGGGAGAGACTTTACTTAATCTTCCAATCTATATTAATAATGATGAATTATCTGAATATTACCCTAGAGTGTTATTTCTTTTTTTCCCTTTGCAATTTTATTTTGGAGTGGATACCTCCTCATGCCACTGTCCCTCCAGATACATAAAATAAATGTCTCCCTTGCAGTTACCAGCGAATACCATTTTTTATTGCTACCATTCAATATTTATCAAAAGTTCAGTTGAAAGACAAAATATTTAGGGGCAACTGCTTGAAAGGCAAGTGGGGCACAGGAATTTCACACGTTTAAGTACTATTACGTCTAGCTTAATAGACAAATATTTGAATAATACACTCTCCTGCCTCCACATAAACTTCAGTAGAACTCGTCCTGATTTTTTTTGTTTGTTTGACCTCGTTTTATTCTGAAAAATGATTTGCCTGTCTATCACAAAATGTAACATGATTTATGGAAGAAGATGAGAATATTAATGAAGGGGATATAGGTTAAATTTGTTCAATTTTATGGTGATTCGTTGGGGTTGTCTAGAGTAAATTAAGACTGTTTTCTTTTTTAAAATATTAACATTTTATTTTATATCCTTCCTATTTTTCTATGAATATTTATACATGTATTATTTTTTTAAAAACTACAAAGAATATCATGAGCATTTTTTTTATTTTTATTTTTTATGTTTTTACTTTAAGTTCTGGGATACATGTGCTGAACATGCAGGTTTGTTACATAGGTATACATGTGTCATGGTGGTTTGCTGCACCCATCAACCCATCATTTAGGTTTTAGGCTCCACATGCATTAGTTGTTTGTCCTAATGTTCTCCCTCCCCTTTTCTCCTACCCGCTGACAGGCCCTGGTGTGTGCTGTTCACCTCCCTGTGTCCATGTGTACTCATTTTTCAGCTCCCACTTACGAATGAGAACATGTGGTATTTGGTTTTCCTTTCCTGTGTTAGTTTGCTGAGAATGATAGTTTCCAGCTTCATCCATGTCCCTGCAAAGGACATGAACTCATTATTTTTTATGGCTGCATATATTATTCCATGGTGTATATGTGACACATTTTCTTTATCCAGTGTATCATTGATAGGCATTTGGGTTGCTTCCAAGTCTTTGGTATTGTAAATAGTGCTGCAATAAACATACGTGTGCATGTATCTTTATAGTAGTATGATTTATAATCCTCTGGGTATATACCCAGTAATGGGATTGCTGGGTTAAATGGCATTTCTGGTTCTATATCCTTGAGGAATCATGACACTATCTTCCATAATGGTTGAACTAATTTACACTCCCACTAGCAGTATAAAAGCGTTCCTATTTCTCTGCATCCCTACTAGCATCTGTTGTTTCCTGACTTTTTAATGATCGCCGTTCTAACTGGCATGAGATGGTATCTCATTGTGGTTTTGATTTGCATTTCTCTAATGACCAGTGATGATGAGCTTTTTTTCACATGTTTATTGGCCACGTAAGTGTCTTCTTTTAAGAAGTGTCTGTTCATATCCTTTGCCTGGGCGGAAATCAACACAGCGCAGTAAAGCGACTATGGCCAATTAGGACTGTTTTCTAAAAATCTAGTCAGTTTGCATGCTTTTATTGTTTCAGAAGCAAGGATTATCTTGTTTGACAATAAATGTTTTGAAAGAATGACCCAATCCAATATTTGAAGATGTTATTTTTTCCAGTATGAGAGAAAAAATATAATCCTTTAAATATGTAATTTATTAAAAACAATAAAATATAAATAAATTTGATATAAAAGCTTTGACTTCTTCTAAATTTTTAATTTATTTGTACCTATGCAAAGCAATTTGAAATGGTACACAACCATACCAGACATAAATCCACCATCAAACACTATGGTGCACTCAAAATTAGAGCTATAAATTTCTCATTCTAAAATAAGTGAAATAATTTAAGTTTTTGATTTATTTTAGGAGAATTTCATTTTTCTTATTTATATGATGGCTGCACTAGATATCTTTAAGAAAATAAAACACGTATTGCTGACTATATTGAGAAAAATAATGCTATGTTTAAAAAACTAGGAAACAGTCTTCAAAATAGCAGTTTCCTTATTTGGAGTGAAACATAAGAAATGTCAAAATAATGAGAAAACGGAGCATGGAGCATAAATTTCAGGATTTGATATTATTTATTGCACTTATATTGATTTTTATTTCTAATATACTCCCTTTTTATATGTCTTTTTATATATCAATTATACCTCCATGTTTTTTAAAAACATACAACTAAATTGAGTTTTGCTGTATTTTCTAAGCATTAAATGAAAAAAAAGTAAAACCAAAACCAGTAGTGAGTTATTAATTTTCTTAACAAATAATAGAGGCTAACACAAACGGCACATCCAAACAAAGGCACTCATTTGTGTAAACCCACTGATATACTTAAATAAATCAAAAGTTTTGTAATGAGCCCATATTCAAAATTAACAACTTTTATTTTCCTGTAAAAGTCGTGAAGATGCTTATGTTTGGTCATTTCATGTCATTATTATTATACTTGCTACCAGTTATGGAGAATTTAGAGAATACCAAGTTCTATGTGAAAGACTTTCATTCTAAAAAGAAAGTGTACATAAAGATCCATTTTACAGAATGAGAAATTAAGAATTAAAGTGGTTATGTTTCTAGGTCAATAACACATTTCAAGAAACTGATATACAGAAGTTAAAACATATGTCTTTATCGATTTCCAAGCCTCTGAAGTTTTAATGATGTCAAACATGCCTCTAAATTTGATGTTGTACAACCCTTCAGTGTATTTGATTTACATAATAAACATAGCCAAGCTAAAAAGTAACACAAAATTTACTTACACCACTTTATTATCATTGATATATTTATCAATATTATTAATTTGCCAAATAAATTGATACATAATTTACCAAATTTATTAAGTAAATTGTTGGGCCTTATGTTTTTTTTATCATGAAGATGAGACAAAATATTGTTTGCTAAATGTTTGATATTTTAAGTACTAAAAATAATTTAAATGGGTTTAATATAGTTAAATATATAAATACCATATAGAAAGATATTTATCTGGACTTCCAGTTTAACAGAAATAAATAAGACACATATTTTTCTACTCCATATCAGGCCATTATAAACTATCTATAGTTATGTGCCCCATAACAACTTTTTAGTCAACAATGGACAGCATATATGATGATTATCACATAAGATTATAATGGATCTGAAAATTTCCTATCCTCTAGTGATATTGTAGCTGTAGCTGCTATAATGTTGTAGTTCAACACATTACTTAGGTATTTGTGATGCTGATGTAAACAAACTTGCTGCAGTACTGTGCTCCAATTCATAAAAGTATATCATATACAATTGTGTACAGTACACAATACTTGATAGTAAATGACGACGTTACTGTTTCTGTATTTACTACACTATATTTTATTACTAGTTTAGAGTATGCTCCTTCTACTTTAAAGAAAGTAAAGTTAACCACAGGGCTCAGGCAGGTCCTTCCGGAGATATTCCAGAAGAAGGCATTATCATCACAGGAGATGACAGCTTCATGCACATTACTACTACTTCCAGTGAGACAAGATGTGGAATGGAAGACGTTATATTCACGATCTTGACCCTGCGTAGGCCTAGGCTGATGTACGTGTTTGCGTCTCAGTTTTTTAACAATGAAGTTTAAAAAGTTAAAAAAATTAAAAACAGAAAAAGCTTATAGAATAAGGATATAAAGAAAATAATTGTGTATGGTTGTGCAATGTGTTTGTGTTTAAAGCTGTTACTGCAAGAGACTCAAAAAATTAAAAAATCAAAGTTATTAAGGTTAAAAAATTACAGTAAGCTAAGATTGATATTATTGACGAAAAGCTTGTTTTATAAATTTAGTGTGGCCTAAGTATACATTGTTTATAAAGTCTACAGTAGTGCACAGTAATGTCCAACGTCTTCACATTCACTCACCACTCACTCAATAACTCATGGAGAGCAATTTTCAGTCCTGCAAGCTCTATTCATTGTTAAGTTCCCTGTATTGATGTACCATATCGTATCTTTTATACTATATTTCTACTGTACCTTTTCTATGTTTAGATATGTTTAAATATGCAGATACTTACCATTGTGTTGCACTTGCCTATAGTATTTGATAAAGTAACATGCTGTACAGGTTTGCAGCCTAGGAGCAATAGACTGTATCACACAGCTAGGTGTATAGTAGGCTATACCATCTTGGTTTGTGTAAGTACACTCTATGATGTTTTCATATGACAAAATTGCCTAATGAGACCTTTTTCAAAACATATGCCTATCGGTAAGAATTTCATAGCTATAGTTACAAATATATAAGTTTGAATTTTTCACAAAAATGTATATATTCAAGATAATTATGCAAGATAATTATTTCTCTTCCCATGTGATGAGATCAAATACCTATGTGATGGATCAAGGAGCTAGTAGATACTAATTATCTAACTTAATTTCTGAAACATGATGTGCAAATAATGATAGACTAATTTCCCTCTTCTATGAGACATTAAGGCTCATAGTGAATACTTTTAAAAACATATAATAACCTGTATTAAAGTTATTTCTCATTTATATTGACATCAATTAAAATACAGTTACTATTATTTTTATATAATATTTAGAAAGTGAGATTCATATATGCTTGAATGGCATGGGAAGGTTATAGTAACACTTTATCCTATATTCTCTAATTTTATACACACAAAAATAATATAGATATAGCTTTAAATCATGTGCCTAGGTAATTTTGATATACATGTTCATGGAAATTAGCATGACATAAACAGTTCTAGGAGGTCTCTGACTAAAACTTTTAAAAAATTGTTCAATTATTTTACAATGTAAAACAACATAAACATAATGAAAATACATTTTTATATTATATGGTCATTTTAAAGATAATTTTCCAAGAAATACATAAAAAAATAAAGAATGCATTAAGCTTTATGTAAAATTTAGAAAAAGGAGCAAGCAAACATTTCTCAAGCAGTACTTCAAGACAATGCACAAATCAGGACCAATAATATCCTTCAAAGATATATTATGCCTTGCCAAAACTTCATTAGAAATATTTCATTTACTGAAGTTATTATTTGCACACCATCATAATTTTATATTTATATATTAATACTTTAATATTATATTTCAAGATGAAAGTACATTTCTGTTTTTGTTTCTCAGAGACTGAATTATTCACAGATCCTTAAATGAATACAAATCATTTTCTGTTTTCTTCAAATATTACTTGCTACTATTAAACCAGTTACAAAGCAGTGAATCCAGATGATGATCAACTCAGTAAGAAATTGCCCTCAAATTATAATTTCACTAGATCTTAAGTGGTAATTACCACTGCAACATCAGCATTAATGGCAAAGATAATTTAGTTTTCCTACCGTCCTTATATCAGAATGACCCTTTATAATATCATCTTCTGTATGTAGGAAGATATTTTCATGAGTTGACATTTATGGCACATGTAAGAATAAGCTGTTTAAAGCATAAAGCAATTGATTTCTACAAAATAATTGAAAGTGGAATTATACTGATTTAAAGTCATTGATAGGAACAGTTTTACAGAGTACATATCTGTAAATAGATTTAACCAATTTAGAAAACACAGTTATTAAAATACATTTTCATATCAGATAAAGTGAGTCTAGAATTATAGACTATAGGTAAGTTTATTCTTATCATTTTAAATTATATTAACCATGTGCTTTGTAAAAGAAAGAAGCAATGTATAAAAACTATTCCTACCAAATCTGTGAGTTTAGTCCAGACTAATATTTGAGAGAAATTGCAAGACACATTAACATACATTGTAATAAAATGAAATGCTGAACAACCTGTTTAGCAGAAAAAAAGATAATTATATTTGAGCAGGAGATATTCATTTATTGCTTAAATGGTAAAGAAACAGAACATTTAATGTTGCTTCTGAGCTTGGTTTTCTATCTGATGTATTGTGCAGGTTTTGAACAATTTACTTAAGAGCATTTTCTCTAAGAACTTGAAATTTGGAGGGTGAAATACCTTAGAGAGTTGAAAACAAAACTGCTTTGTTAGAAGTTTACATCTTATGTAGGTTTTATCTCTCTAGATTATATTTTCCACTGTTTGTGTTATCTGTCTGATTTCACTCTCTGTACCTTGGGGCCTGATTAGATGATTTCTCTCTATTTTTGCTCTCTCTGTTTTTGGCTGTGTCTTAAATTTCCTCCTTAGAATTGCTAAGATTGCTTCTTTCCTGTATCACAAGATTTTTAACCCATCTCCATCTCCCTTTAGTTTGTGCTTTTGCCCATAGTGTTTTTCCCACAATGCTTTAACTTTGTCTGGCTTCCTCCTGTCTGCTTTTCCCAGTATCATTCACATTGTCTGTTATATCATATGGATCTATGCTAGGATTTCTGAACTTTGGTAATATTGACATTTTGGACTAGATAACTTTTTTGTTTTTGTGTATTGGGCAGAGCTGGGTATGTGGAACAAGTTATATGAAGTGGATTTATTACTTACAGATAGGCACCAGAGACAAAAGAAGCTAGGATTTATTGCCAGCTTGTACCCCAAGAAAGCTTCTCCAGGGCAGATGGAGTCTCAGCTGTGTGTGTCCCGCTTGCACCACAGCTGAGGGACCCAAAAAGGCAGTCCTCCCTGGGTTATATACCTCAGGGGTGAGGCGGTTCACTGGACAAAACTTTGAAGCACATCCTGATTCCAGAGGAGAGAGGAACAATCCCCGGGCTGTACCAGACAGTTCCTCTCTAACTCGGAATGTTGTATTTCCAGTCCATTTTAGAATGATTCTTTAGAACTACAAGCAAGAAAGTGGGAGAAATGGGTCAGTCTAAAGGCATCGAGAGAACTGTCCTGATGTTACTACTAAAATAATTTTGTTTAAAAACTATATCTGGAAGTCCTAGGTATTAATTTATGTTTTTTAAAATTATAGTACTAATAGTAAAATATCTTAGTCAAAAATTAGTTTAAAATGAGTGTTTCTGTTTATGTAATAGGTAGCAGTCGTACAACAAAATCCTATCAGGCATTTCTCTAAGAATTACCATGTCCCATTTATTATTCTGGTCCAGCATGCGTTAAACTAGAAACACCTAATGAACTACAGCTGCTGAATTTTATTGATTACAATTTCACAAAAGTACTATTAAAGCTGATTAAGGATATTTAGATGAATTGGACCATAAAAACAGGTCTCTCTTCTATTTCTGGAAATTCAGGAGATTAGATATGCTGAATGACCTTTTAGATTGTCACAACTAAATGTATGATATAATATTTAAAAACATATTTTAAGATCCAGTGGAAAATGTTCATAAAATTAAGTAATGCACAGATACCAAAAACAAGTTGAAAGTATCAATTCTTGGCAATAAGAGAACACCAAACCACCTTTTGCCCTGAAGCTTTCTGTTTAATATTTGAGAACTTGAGCTGCTTTGATGGTTGCTCTAGCAACTAGGACATGTGATAAAGCTTAATGCCTAAGCAATGCAATGTGATAGGAGATTACCACATTAAATTGAGAATCCAAAGTCTACAATCTAATGAGAATAAAATATAAGCTTTCCTAGATGTTGTTCCTGACTTTAGAACTGTGTAAAAGAAAAAAAAAATCTCACAAATAGCAATCCACCATAAACATGGGACCAGAAGGTTTGGATTTTGGCTTTTTATAAAAAGTTTGGACTATTTACATTATAGTGCTTGCACATCTCAAATCAGGAAATACAAAATTCGAAATACTCCAATGAGCATTTCCTTAGTCAGCTTTGAAAGATGTTTTAGATTTTGGAGCATTTCAGATTTCAGATTTTGGGGTTTGGGATGCTCTTTTCATTAGAGATATATAACAATATGAGGATCTCTAGGCTATTCCTCTATTGTACAAATTCACTAGTTGTCACAGAATATGTCACAGATAGCCTGAAATCTTTCTAATTGTCTTAATGAATATGTGGGCTGGCAAAAAAAAAAAATCTCTCTTTCATTTTGTCTCTCTGTCTACACACGCGCACGCTGACACACACACACACACCTATACCAATAGTAAATGCAAAGGGTTTATATTTAGTTATTTTGCTTGAATGTATATTTTGTTGAACTTTCACCAGAAAGATAAGATGACATTGAACACCTATTTACGTATTAAACTGCTTTTTCTATCACTATTTTCCAAAGCAGAGATTTAAGCACAAAAATAGAAATTTAACTTTTTTAATTATGAGGATAATTCATATGGGAATTAATCAAAAGAACTTGGAGCTGAGTCTCACGTGTTTAAATGTTGTCTGGTAACAAAGTCCCAGGTTCTGGGAAGGTGAAATGTCAGCTACATATTCCTTCTTTGGTAAGTGGCAGATTTAATATCATTACTTTTTGCCTATATAACATTAATTTCAAATTATCATTAAATATTATTTTAAATCCTAAAGTTAATCAATATTAAATCATGACATTGAAAAATTATTGGCTAAACGTAATATAAATAAAATGTTTCTCTTGATTTATTCTATTTTAATAAGTGCTGTTACTGCAGAATACAAAATAGAGACTTTGGTACCTTACATGTTTGATTCAGTATAAGAATTTAGGTTTTTGAGTGAATCTAAATAATTCTACCTTTACATCAATATACTCTAATTGAGATACATTTTAATTGTTAAAAAAAGGTATATGTTATCAAATGGTTCTGGGAGTGCCTGGATAATTTGAAAATCATATGAATGTATTAAAAAAATTTACTTGAATTTTCAGAAAATGTGTAAAAGGTGTAATACCTGATGTATTTCCAGTTTGAAATTTTGTTATCTTACTGTATTTTATATTGATATGTTATGTTTATTTTATAATTTCCTTAATTCTTTTGAAATTTAAAATGTGCACAGTTGTGAGGAAATGGATATTTTGTTTTACCGAAGGCTCATGAGAAATTGGGATTCTGTATTACATATAATTAATGTAAGGGTGCTCATTTCATATATATTAAGACGAGACTGAATATCAACCCGTAAGTCAAAATGTAAGCATCTCCTAAGATTATAAATAACTTAAAAATGTTATCAGCATTTATTTAAGATCAAAATCAAGTCCGGGTGTGGTGGCTCACACCTGTAATCCCAGCACTTTCAGAGGCCAAGGCGGGTGGATCATCTGAGGTCAGGAGTTCAAGACCAGCCTGGCCAACATGGCGAAACCATGTCTCTACTAAAAGTATAAAAATTAGCTAGGCATGGTGGTGGGCACCTGTAAATCCAGCTACTCAGGAGGCTGAGGCAGGAGAACTGCTTGAACCCGGGAGGTGGAAGTTGCAGTGAGCCGAGATCGCACCACTGCACTCCAGCCTGGGCGACAAGAACAAGACTCCATCTCAAAAAAATAATAATAATAATCAGAGATATATATTTAAATGGGAAAATATTTTTTATCTATCTTAAAACCTTATCAACTCAGGCAGGAGCTGGGGATGTATTTCAATTGTATAGAAAAAAACAGTAAGTATTATATACAACTTGAATTTAGGAAGTGCTCTATGAAGACTTTCCCCTCCAGAAGTTATGGAATCCTTGACACTATAATATAAAGAGTTTTACTCATTTCATCGGAATTACCAACAAGATGGTGAATTTCAACCTAAATATCTGTCAGTAGAAAACACTAGTTGAATAAATCAGGCCTCAGTGATCTGACACCTTAATAATTGTCTGTGTGAATGATAGGCTGCTGTTCAAAAGACAGTGGGTTTGCAAATTTTTTTCCTGAATCTGTTGGCTGCGTTTTCTTGTTTACTTTTGCTTTTGTTGCCTGTGTTTTTGGTGAAACATCCAAAAAATTCTTTCCAAGTCATGCCAAGTAAAATAATCCGCAGAATGAAAAATACCGCATGATCTCACTTATATGTCAAATCTAAAATAAAACAAAGCAAAACTCAAATGTATAGAAACAGGATAGAAATGTGGTTATCAGAGGTGGAAGAGGTGGGAGTGGGGTCAAAGAAAGGAGACGGAAGTCAAGGGTCTAAAGTTTCAGTTATGCAGAATGAATGTCTAGAAATATACTGCATGAAAACTATTGTACAGTATATAGGAAATTTGATAAAAGTAGATTTTAGGTACTGTTCCTACACAAGAATATAACAATTGGAGACTGTATATATGTTAATTTTATTCACTGTAGTAATATTTTCCCTACATATAGTATATAAAAACATCATATTCTACATTAAATAATACAAAAAAGAATGAAGACCTCTTTGATTTAAATAGACAACAGCCATGCCAGTATATGATGTTTTAAACCCTGGTTGTTAACACAGAGAAGTAAATAGAGGTTATATTACTTTAAAAAAACAAAACAAAAACACACAAAAGAGCAATAGGGATTAGACCACAAAATATTTCTATGGGAAGGCCAATGATAGTTTCAGCTTCTATTATAGCTTTTTCCTTTAACCCTTAGAAGATACATCGCTGTTATGTTAAAGACTCATTTTTATTCTAAATACCTTTATAGAGTAAGTGTGGGTTGCCAGGACTACATGAAAATATACTGTAAGTCTGTTCTTTATGTTAGTTGGGACAATGTAAAAAAAGTTCTAGTGAATAATTTGCCTCATACCAAGTTGTGTGTGATATTCTCTTGATCATATCCATGGCTGTTTGACGACACCGTCTTTTTGGCATTATATATCTTAGTTCAAGATGGCTCTCTGCCTTTAAAAATAAGAAATTCATAGGCAGCAAGCCACACAGCAAAACTATCCAACTAAATAAATGCACTTGAATACTATAGTACAATAGTTTTCATGCAGTACATGGCTAGACATGTCTACATTTCTAGACATTTATCCTGCATAATCTAAACTTTGGCTCTTTGATTTCCATCTCTTTCTTTTCTTCAACCCCACTCCCCCCTCCTTTGATTACCACTTGAATACTGTAAGTAGGTACCATATATAATCCTGAAATGCAGGAAACTAATACATTTTAACCTTCCTGTAGTAGTTTTAACTTAATTGCAAAGAGGGGCCACCCTGTGGAACTTATGACTGTGAAGACCACAACAGAGTCAGGAAAAACAGTGCAGAAATGGAGAACAAATAGCCTCAGAAAAATGATAAGAACTGAAACCACTAATCTTATGACAAGAGTACTACTTATGATATAGTTTGCTGTTGCCCAAAAGGAAGTTCCTCTTTCATTAAATATCTGTAACAGAGATATTGAGTAACTGTATTACCTGGAAAATATATAGTTCAATAAATATAAAAGTAAAAACGTATGCACAGTGTGAGAAGGTATGATAGAAACAGACAATTCCTTGCATGTAACCAGGAAATCAGTAGTATATGAAATATATTAATATATGAAATATAGATACAACTTCTTAAAATCAGTAAGACAAATTATAATGAATTGACTAAAACATGGGCAAAGAATATAAATAAAAAAATAACAGGATAGAAAACATGAATAATGAATGAACAGATAATGAGATTGTCAATTTTCCTAGCAATAAGATATTTAAAATTTAAATGATCATCTGATATAGTTTGGACATCCCCTCCCAATCTCATGTTGAGGTGTAATCTCCAATATTGGAGGTAGGGCTGGAAGAATCATGGGGGCTGATTTTTCACGAATGGTTTAGTGCCATCTCCTTGATGTTGTCCTCATGATAGTGAGGATGTTAATGTGAGATCTGGCTGTTTAAAATTGAGTGTCATCTCCCTCTCGCTCTCTCCTGACCCCACTCTTGCCATCCCTGCTTCACCTTCCACCATGAGTAAAGGCTCCCTGAGGCCTCCCCAGAAGCCAAGACAGATACTAGTGCTATGATTCCTGTACAGCCTGCAGAACTGTGAGCCAATTAAATGTCTTTTCTTTATAAATTACCCAGTCTCAGGTATTTCTTTATAGCAATGCAAGAACAGCCTAATACAAAAAATTGGTACCAGAAGTGTGGTATTGCTGTAAAGAAACCTGAATGTGGAAGCAACTTTGGAACTGAGTAATGGGCAGAGAGACTTTGGAACAGTTTGGAGGTCTCAGAAGACAGAAGATGAAAGAAAGCTTGTAACTTCTTAGAGACCGGTTAAATGGTTCTTACCAAAATGCTGATAAAAATGTGTACAGTGACCTCCAGCCTGACCAGGTCCCAGATGGAAATGAGGACCCTATTGGAAACTGGAGTAAAGGTCATCCTTGTTATGCCTCAGCAAAGAACTTGGCTGCATTATGTTCATGCCCTAGGGGGATATGTGGAAATCGAATTTAAGAGTGATGACTTAGGGCATCTGGTAGAAAAAATTTTGTTCAACAAAGCCTTCAAAAAATGACCTACCTGCTTCTAACAGCTTCTGTATATACATATATACACACACACACACACATATATATATTCTTCTGAAACAAACATGGTAAAATGTTAAAATTGGCTAAAATAACAAATCCAGGTATTTGTTATTTTATTCACATTTTCCTATTATTTCATTAATATAAAAATTCTTATTTTTATATTTTATTTAGAAAAATACCAAAATTATGTTGGTTTCGTAAATAATCTGATATTTATTTATATTTTTCTTCATTTCCTATTACCATTTCTTGACTACCTTCAAGGATTGTTGCTAATGGGTCACATTGGTCTTCTTTCTGTCCCTGTTATATTCTGAGGGTGAGCCTCAAGGGTCTAGCACTGGCCCTTCCCTCTGTCTGATAACCTCTTCCCCAAGATTTCTTACAGATCAGGTCTTTTTTCACTTTTGGGTGTTAGGATAACATTCCACATGTTGTGAGCTTCTGTTAAGCACCATTTATTTAATTACGTTTACATAGGAACAGAGGTTCTTCTAAATCCTTCTGCCCTCTTGTGAGGTTAAGCTGAACCCAATGTCTACTGAGCTGCTGTAGCTGTTAGGGCTCAGAGACAACTACATAGAAACAAAAATGGACATAGTTGCTACACTTAGTGTACAGGACTCAATTTCCTGGGCTTTTTGAATAGACTGTTTGGCCTGTCAATTTGAACACTGTAGATGGGTAAGTTAAAGCCACCCTTTCTAGGGCTCTGAATTATGGAAGCAAATCACCATTGGAGACTCATTTGTGTGAGCCACTCCTGTAGATGTCCACAGGAAGGTCTTTTTATTTAGTGCGACAACCTGAAACCAAACTGATGTATGTGCCTGATGCTGTGTTTCTGAGGAGATGCTACTACAACACACCAGACTTGTAACTCATGCTAAAGTTGGACTGCATATCTAGATCTAGATATAATCTTCTAGAAAAAGGAACATCATATCACAAGGGGCATTGTTTTATATGGAGCCTGAAAGAATCACTAGATACTAGATTATACCTTTAACCTCCTCTTGAGGCTATTGATAATAGCTCCTTAATGTTGACACTTTTTCAAGTGACAGATCAGTGATTCCAGCTGCACCATTGTGAGTCTTGAATCCAATTTGTGTCATTTATTTGGCTTTCTGGAACATTTGAATTCAGGTGACAATATTACTTCTGTCACAAAACCTACCCAACAATGGCTGATAGTTGACCCTCCCTCCCTCTCTAGTATCTTCCCTGTCCATAACAATTTGGTCATTATTCATTAAATATAGCTTTCCCATAAAGAATCATATCTTCTCAACTTTTTAGGAGTAATTATCATGATTAAAGATTGAGAGATTAAATGTGTGTGTGTGTTTGTGTGTGTGTACTTTTATTTGTATTTTTTTAGTTTTTTCTTAACTTATAATTTCAGGGGAACAAGTGCGGTTTATTACATAGGTAAACTTGTGTCACGGGGGTTTGTTGTACACTGATACTATGATAATGTTGCATAAATAATTTTATAACCAACAAAGAGACAAAAGAAAAGCAGTAGAATATGCAAGAAAATATGGTATATTAATATGAGTTTCCCCATACTTCAGACTAGAAAATTAACAGAAAAAATACATAGGAGTTTTTGGTGTTTTAAAATTTGTTGCAAGTATGTTTGATTGTATTTATGCTTCACATAGTATCAGTGTTAAAGTTTACAACATTTTATTCTCCTTGGTAGCCACTATTTTAATAGTCGATAAATCTTAATGATGTATTTAAGTGGACTAAACATTCACCAAGTATTTATTTTTATTTTTTGATTCACAAATCTGTTGATTACATTTTATGAACTATTTTTTAAGGCTGTCTCAGAATTTCTGTATTTCTAGATATTGTGAAGCATAAGATAACAATTTCATTAATCATGAATAATGAATTTTCAAAAAAAAAATCTAGAGAAGATCTTATTATGCTAATGGGATTGCTCCTTAAAGAGTGAACATAATTATGGACCACAGTAAAGGAGTTGGAGACGCTGGAAGGGCCATAGCAGAAAATTAAAGAAGGAGGTGGGAAGCTTAAGAGTTAGGCATCTTGGAAAGAATTGATTATATGAGACCAGAAAATCTACTCTCTACCTATGTTCCCCAGGAGGATCCTAAAGACACTTCCTTCATTAATGCAATAAAGAATGTCATTATATTTTTAAAATATCACCTTTGAGAAACTCAGTAGTGCCCATCATGCTATGTAAGTCATACTTGATAATACGAGAGACCACCATTGAGTTAAACTAAAATAGGCATTTTCTAAAAAGAAATTAAAAAGATATTTACCATATGATCTAGAAATTTTATGTCTGGGTATATAGTCTAAAAATTGAAAGCAGGGATTAACAGATATTTTTAAATACATGTGTATAGCAGTATTATTCACAATAACTAAAATGTGGAAGCAACCTGTGTTTATTGATGGATGAATGGACAAAATGTGATATATTCATTGATATGATTGGCTATGTCCCCACCCAAATCTCATCTTGAATTGTAGCTCCCATAATTCCCACGTGTTATTGGAAGGACCTGGTGGGAGTTAATTGAATCATGTAGGTGGGTTTTTCCCTTGCTGCTCTCATAATAGTGAATAAGTATCATGAGATCTGATGGTTTTACACAGAGGAGTTCCCCTGCACAAGTTCACTCTCTTTGCCTGCTGCCATCTATGTAAGACATGACTTGCTCTTCCTTGCCTTCTGCCATGATTTTGAGGCCTCCCCAGTCATGTGGAACTGTAAGTCCATTAAATCTCTTTCTTTTGTAAATTGCACGGTCTTGGGTGTCTTTGTTAGCAGCATGAAAACAAACTAATACATTCATAAAATGTTATACTGTTCAACTTTCAAAAGGAAGAAAATTCTGATATATGCCACAGGACAGATGAAGCTTGAGAATGTTAGGCTACATAAAATAAGCCATTCACAAAAACACAGATACTGTCTTATTTTACTTATATGCAGTACCTAAAGTAGTCAAATTTATATTAACAGAAGGTAGAATTGTGCTTGTCAGGTGCTGGAGGGAATGGGGGATATGGAATTATTGTTTAATGGGTACAGCGCTTCAGTTTCACAAGATGGAATGTGTTTTGGAGATGAATGGTGGTGATGTTGGCACAACAATATGAATGTATTTAATCCTATTGAGCTGTAGAGTTAATATAGTTCAGATAATAAATTTTATGCTATATTCATTTCACCACTATTAAACAGATGAAAATAAAAAGTTTAAAATGTACTATTTGTTCATTATTTTACTATTTTAGTTGGTAACTGTTAAAAGAAATTGGGAGACAAGGATGATAATGACAAAGATCTCTTTGCATGGTAATTTCTTATATGGATAGCAATAACAGGAAATAGGACTAGACCTTTTTTATTTTTAAAATTAAATTATACAGTGAGGTTCCAATTTCAATGTTTAGAATAAATTATATTTTGTTTAAATAACAAAGCAAAAAGTATATAGTAGAATTGAAATACAGTGTCAAAATAATGGATTTGAGTTTCTATAAGATTATTAAAAATACACCCAATTTTCTGAAATATACATATATGTCTCTATTTGATGTATGCATCATGGTGTCTAGGAATCATGAAGCTCATTTTACTTCATTGTGTAATGCATCACAATGCATTATTATTGGAATTAATTTTTCAAAACCATGGATGGCAGCAAGTAATAGTCTAAGTATTTTGGACATTTTGCTGCTGTGTACAAAGTTAAGGAAGATAACATCGAAGAACAAACGATTTGAGTAGTTTTGGCAACAAATGTGTGAGGACAAAGTAGCATAAAGTGAATAAACTATAATATTATAGCTTATAATCCTGCCTGAAAGAGAGAAAATAAACATTAAATTGCTATTCAGCTGGTTGTCAATCTAATTTCTCTCCTGCTATGGCTTTATTTTATCAGGTATATATTTTGTATGAGATAAAAGTTTTAAATTTCTTGCACAAGGTTTTTTAATTAAAATATATTTAGATATTGAACCATCTTATTTAAAAGTACCATAAAAATAAAAATATAATTGTAGTTATATATGCCTCAAACTACAATTAATCAAGAACTATTTAGCTAAAATTGATTTTATTTGGGTAAACATACAATCTCAGAAAACAAATAGTTATTTTTTTCTCTTTTATAACATCTAGGTGCATTTAGACAAACAATCTTATTTAAGAAAATTGTTGGTTAAAATTAAGCTTATCATCTGGACGTGGTCCTTAAAAGTTTTCAATTCTTTCAACTTACAGTATGGTTTAAAATAAATGTAATAATTTGAAACAAGAACTCCATAAACACATTATTACTTTAATGATGTAATAGTTTTGTATAAATTTAATATTTCTGAAAGGACTCATCTCAAAGACAGTAGGTTTAGAAATTTTATATTTTTGTACCCTACAGTAATAAACTCTTTAACACATTTCTCACCAATGCCCTTGTTTGTGAACTCATTTCTAGAGGAGAATGGACCTTCACCTTTCCCGTAGGACTGTTAATACCATCAAGAAGAACAAATAACTTTTACCCTTTCAGATCTCAGGGGACCACTGCTCTCTCTTTGTTTCATCAAAGGTGAGAACTGTCAGTAGGCACATTTAATCACAGGCCATATCTGGAATATCTTCTGGGACCAAAGTGAACCTAAAGCCTTACTCCAAGCTCTGAAGTAGGTTACTGGACTTTACTGGTTGGTAAAGAATTGTGACATCGGTTCTTATCAGTTCTTATTGTGGGAGTATTGAGACATAATACAATATAGTTTTAAAATAGAATAGTATAGTTTTTAAAAAGCTACATCTTCAAAGCTGAATATAACCACAAATCAATTACTCGCAGTTTAGAAACAATACTAGATTACTACTATAGTAAAATATTTACATATGTTGTCATTTATTTATCACGATAATCAATAAAGAATATTTTTTACAAATGAGGCCAAAGAAAAATTAAAGTCAGTTTTTAGAGATAATGAACAACCTAGAACTTAAAGTCAGGTAAGCTTAAGTAGAAAATCCTTCCCTTTTCACTCTGTAGCATGGCATTCCTTATTTTCAGGATTTGGTAATAGACCTAAATGTCATTCAGAAGTTCAATTGAACACAATTAATTTAAAATATTACTTAAAATTTTCAATTTTGGTGTATTAAATAAGTTACAAATAGGAAGTCTAATTGTCTCAGTGTGATTTTTTTTGTCACTTTGTATTACAATTAATATAAAGTATGTGCCCTTGAGGCTAATTTTGGTCCAAAATACTTTTCAGACTGTGGCTAATTCACCCACGTCAGCTCTGTCAGAACGTTTTTGTCCGTTATTTTGTTTTAATGGTGGCACCAGCATAGCGGCACTTAATTTCAACTAATGAAAATACTGCAATATTTGAATTATAAGTGTATTAGAACAAATAATGTGATGTGGGCATCACTACTAAATGAAAAGCTTTGTCTTACATTAAAGTAAATGAATCTGAGACATTTTGAAAATGAAAGTGCAAATTAATCTTCAGGAGAGTCAATCTCTGGTTCTTGTTTTCCTAGGAGAGAGGCAGTCAATAGTGCTTTTGTGGTTAGGTGAGACATCTCATGATCACACCAATAAATGCTTCTTATTTATCTTGTGTGGTTTGAGTTGAGTTTCTGTTATTTTTGACAATTATTTGTCTTAGTAACATAAGCTGGATACTGAAGTCCTGCTATAAGTCCTCAAGCCCAAGATATCTGTTCTCTTTTACAGTATACAAATATTATAATATTTAATAAACTGCAATAGTAATATTTCAGACCTAATAAGCAGAAATAGTGCTTCAGCAAACAATTATCTGACCATATTACCAGTGATTTCAGGAATGCTGAAAATGACAAATGACCATCAATATAATTCTCTGCATTTATAAACTTTTATGTTATAATAAAAGAAAAACATAAACATGAATTATGAATTGAAAAAAATTGGAATGCTGAAGTTAAAAAAGTAATATTTTAGACAGAACGCCTTCTTAAATTAAAAATAATAATTAATGGGGAACATCAAAGGTCTTATTTGGTAAGACCTGAGAACTTAAAGGCAGTGGATAACGACACTAAGAGAAAATTTGACAGTGGGACTGTAGAAAACAGTTACATGTATATTAAATTATTTTATGTATAATAAACAGAAGAATAGAGAAAGAAGTAAAAGTATCGTGTAAGTCACATCTCTTCAGATGTGGCACATATGAGTCACATCTCATTCAGCAAAGTCCTTTGTCTCCAAAATTATAGGGCTTTCTAAATAAAAATGAAAACAGTAAAAATAGAATGAACTGATATTTGATCAAACTAACCAGGAGTAAAAGCATTTTATTAAAAAGTAGATACTATAAAATGAGACAAATGTGTAATATATAGAAAAAAATCTCTGTAGATAGAATACTCAATTTTAAATACTTTGAATTAAGATGTGGTATAAAAGTGAGGTTGGGAGCCAGGGACAGTGGCTCACACCTGTAATCCCAACACTTTGGGAAGCCAAGGTGGGCGGATTACCTGAGGTCGGGAGTTCCAGACCAGCAAGACCAACGTGCAGAAACTCCGTCTCTACTAAAAATACAAAATTAGCCAGGCATGGTGGTGCATGCCTGTAGTTCCAGCTACTCGGGAGGCTGAGGAAGGAGAATCACTTGAACCTGCGAGGCAGAGGTTGCAGTGAGCCAAGATCGTGCCTTTGCACTCCAGCCTGGACAACAAGAGCGAAACTCCGTCTAAAAAAAAAAAAAAAAAGAAAAAAAAAAAGAAAGTGAGGTGGTTGGATTTAGTTAGGAGCTGTGATAGGAAGCCATTAAATTGGCCCCCAATTATCCGACAATATCCTGATATTGGCAACCTTTAATACTTTTCTCCTTTTGAGTGTAGCTTGGATATGCCCTTTACTTCTGACCAATGCAATACTGCGAAAGAGATGAGATACCATTTTCCCGATTGCGTTACATACAACTTCTACCTCGCTAGCAGCAGGCTCTCTCCATTGACTGTCTCCTTTGCAGGCTTTGACAAAATAAGCCGAAATATGGGAAAGCTCACTTAGTAGGAATTAGGGAACAACCTCTGACAGCTAGGCAGCAAAAACCTGAGGCACTCAGCCTGTTATCACGCAAAGAATCGAATCTTAACATTTATGAGAGTTGGCAGTGGATCCTTCCCCCGTCAAGATTCTGATAAAATGCATCCCACTTTGTGAAATGCAGAAGAGCAGCAGATACAGAGAGATAATGCCTGAACTTATAACTCAGAGAAAAATGTGAGCTAATAATGCATGCATTTTTAGTTATTACATTTGTGTAATATTGTCACAAAAATTGCTTGGTAGAGAGAGTGTATGAAAATTCTCTTGGGAAAACTTCAGAATTTTAAGTGAAACAAAAAGCAAGATCATTAGATGAATCTGAGAAAAGAAAAAATTAATAATAACAAAACATTAACTTTTTAAAGCAGAGGTTTTGTATGTCATATTATAACACCATGAAATCAAAATTTTAAAAATAATATAAATACTACCTGGAAATAAAGAAATGTACTCAGAAAATCTTTAGATAAAAATAGAAAATAAAATGGAGATAAAAATACATAAAATATAAAGCAAAAAACAAAATTGATTATAAAACTGACAGGAGAATATGGTTAAAATATGGTATTAAACACCTTGATTGAAAAAACATAAAAAAGTAAAGTGAAATAATTATGTTTTAGTTAAATAAATGAGTAAAACAATAGTGTAAAATATTATAAGTATTATAAAAACATCTAGCAAAAGAAAAATTGGAATGCACAAAATTAAAGATTTAATTAGTGCATGTGAAAACACAATAATTATGCAATAATTATGCAAAAAAATTATGAAAAAACCACCTATATATAACTCTCACAAGCTTGTTTAAGAAAATACAGAAATAGATAAAAATTGGATTTTCACAATTGGAACAGAAATGTGCTCACAGCTTTACTTAAAAATACAACTATATACAGCTGTATACAAGTAATATTGTATGTAAATTTATAGATAAAATTGGAATAATAAAAACATAATGCTTTTCAGAAAACTGTAAATAATCAAAATGACCTGAAAAAAAAAACCTTGGAAATATGAACAGGTGAAATCTATAACAAAATTCATTACATAAATATGTTAAAACAGAAAGCAAAACAAAAATGAAAGAAAAATGTTGGACATGGCTGCTGATAAAATTCTCAACTACACATGAAAGATGAAAAGTATAAAACTTAAGTTAGAATCAAAGAAATATATTGAAATTAAAAATTAATTTTTTCAGCTTCAATTTTTGTAAAACACAATAACTTTATGGCTAGGGTCACATAAGACCGTACGTAAGCATAGATACTAATTAATTCATACACACACAAACAATTCTACAATGATAGTTGGAGTTGGCAATAGCCATACACAATAATGGATAGAACAAACAAATGGAAAATCAGCAAAGATAAAGGAAACTTGAACAGCAAAAAATTGGAATAATAGTATTCCAATTGGAATAAAATTGGAATAAAAATTGGAATAATTCAAGTTTTTTCAAGCAAAAAACTTGAAAGTAAAAAATTAATGAAAATTAACGATCAAAAATGAATGAAGCAGACAGCAGAAAACTTAAAAAGACATTAATAGAAGTGAAAGTTGGTTTTTGAATAGATTTTTTGAAAAGACAAACTTCTAGCTAGATTGGCCGTATTGAAAAAGACAAAAGACTATAAAATAGAACATAATGAATGATCTTACAAAAATTAAAAATATTACAAAGGAACATTATAAATAACTTTATTCAAACAAATTAGACTGTGAAAGATAAAATTTTTAATTTAATATCACTCACAATAATACCAAAATAATAAAATTCTTAGGAATACATTTAACAGAAGAAAAATAAATTTATACTGAAAACTGCAATAATTTGCTAAAAAATATTAAAAAGGATCTAAATAAATGGTGAGACATTCCACACAAATCTACTGTAAGACCCAAAATTATTAAAATTTATCCTGAGTTGATTGCAATTCTTATCATAATCCTGGAAGTTATAATTTCTTCGTAAATGACTAAGCTCATTCTTGAATGTATATGGAAATGCAACACTTAGAATGTAAAAATCATTTTTTTAAAAATGAAATAAGTTGAAGCACGTATTCTTTCTGATTTCAGACTCACTGTAATACAGTGAGTTTATACAGAATAGTGTATACAGAAATGTTTATTAGCTGAATAAACATTTGATAAGTGGAGCAGAATTCCAAGTGATAACTAAAGATAAGGAATCATCACAGCTTCAGTGTCTACTTACGCTGTTTTTGCTTTTAGTATTGTTAATGTACAACACTTCAGTCTTTGTTTTTGTTTAACTTTTTGGAGGTTCTCTCTAGGTGTCGTGATCTAGTATCCAGCAAAGATCTAAATAGTCTCTACGTAGACTTATGAAGCTCTTAATATGAGATCATGTTTCCAGTATTCTTTCCTAGAACTTCAAGCTTCACCAATCTCTCTGAACTTAAAATATGATCTACTAAACTTAATTTGCCCATTAGCCTGTGTTGCAGGGAAGTCCAATCGTTTGGCTCCCCTGTGCCACATGAGAAGAAGAATTGTCTTGGGCCACATATATAATGCACTAACACGAATAATAGCTGATGAACTAAAAAATAAAATCACAAAAAAACTCATAATATTTTAAGAAAGTATATTAATTTGTGTGGAGGCTGCACTCAAAGCCGTTCTGGACTGCATGCGGCCCACACGCCGCAGGTTGGACAAGCTTGGTTGAAGATTCCGTTTTTATGTTCCTCTTGACAAAATATCCCTCTAGCAGAAGCCAGGACTCACTTCCAATTGCTTCCCTTGTCTCAAGTATCACACTGAATGTTGTCTAATATATGACCACAAACGCATTTTTTTTCTTGTTTTCTACTTGCTTGAGTCAAGGGATTAATTTAGACACTTGTCACTTTCTGATAGCCGTATCTGGAAATTAGAGTAATATTTCCATATGCTCAGCATAACGCAGCCTTTCTATTCTGTAGTTACTACAAGGCAAACCAACTTCTGAAAAATATAGTGAATCAATGTTACTTCATATTCAGCCTCATCACTTTATTTTTTGAAATGTAACTACAGCTATGAAGTTCTAATGGAGTACAGCCTGTATTGCTTCTTTTGTAGTAAAGAAAAGCATGCTCTTTTGGGTATGTCCTTCTTTATGTGTTGTAATTTTCTGTCACCTTCTGATATTTGTAAGTGGTCATTCTTTTGTCTCTTTCCATATAGACACTTTTTTGTGTAACTACTATTTTGCAGATACCCCTTTTGTTTTAAAAAAATGGTTTTTTTTAGGTTCAGGGGTACATGTGAATATTTGTTGTATAGGTAAACTCACGTTACAGGGGTTTGTTGTACAGATTATTTCATCACCCAGTACCCAACAGTTATCTTTTCTGATCCTCACCCTCCTCCCACACTCCACCCTCAAGTAGACCCCAATGTCTGTTGTTTCCTTCGTTATGTTCATAAGTTCTCATATTGAGCTGCCACTTATAAGTGAAAACATGCAGTATTTGGTTTTCTGTTCCAGTATTAGTTTGCTGAAGATAATAGCCTTTAGTTCCATCCGTGTTCCCAGAAAGCACATGCACAAGGCACATTTAGTCAAATAATCAGAACCTTCAGACTTAAGATAGGTTACAGAAAATTTCAATGATTTTGTATTCTTTTCTGTGTAAGGGCACAATAAAGATATGATCAAGGCACATAAAACCTCAGAAGGTTTACTACATTAAAATCTTTGAAAATTGGGGGAGTAATAGTAGTAAGAAGAAATATATATCAAATTGGAAAAAATGTGTGTGCATATATAAAACGAAGTTTTTTTGGAGGGGGAGGGGGACGGAGTCTCGCTCTGTCGCCCAGGCTGGAGTGCAGTGGCACGATCTCGGCTCACTGAAAGCTCCGCCTCCCGAGTTCACGCCATTCTCTTGCCTCAGGCTCCAGAGTAGCTGGGACTACAGGCACCTGCCACCATGTCCGGCTAATTTTTTTTATTTTTAGTAGAGTGTTAGCCAGGATGGTCTGGATCTCTTCACCTCGTGATCCGCCTGCCCAAGCCTCCCAAAGTGCTGAGATTACAGGCGTGAGCCACCGCGCCCGGCCACAAAGTCTACTTTTAATCTAAAATATTCATGAGTCTCCCCTCTCCAGTAAGGATAGAAAAACATTATCAGAATCTAAATCTTTCACTATGAAAACCAAAACAAGCTATATAAGCTATAGAATCATGTTGTTTTATTTATTTATTTTTACCGAGGAGAGATTTAGGATTCAAAAGCTCATAAATAAACTAAATTGCAAAAGGGATAGTCCTTGATATGAGAGAACATATCACAGTGTTCTTGTCCCTGGTGAAAAACTAGGTGGAGAAATCAGAAAAATCTAAATAGGAGAAACTAAATGTAATCATGAGATGGCATGAAAGAATAAAATTCTGATAAAATCTAACCACAGAGCAAGTCACCACAAAATAAATTTTTCCCATGTGTTTTTACCAACAGTTTTTCCATCATCCTTAACATGAGAGCAAGATAATAGGACAGAGAGGGCTCCTCCCTCATAAAAATATCTTCAGGCTGAGGGGAATTATATCAAATATATCTTACACAAAGTGTGTAGAATAATTAAATGAAACCATATAGATGCACATATACATATATTTACATAGGTTTAAATTTAAAAGTAAAAACAAGCTTTTTTGTATTCAAAGCAAATATAAACATAATCGATTCAGGGTGTATAACATATAAAATGCATATGTAGAAGCAAAATAAATAAAAGAGCTCAAAGGGTAGAAAATAATTTCTGAATTTTATTTAGTTTGCTAAATTTATTAGAGTTTTACAACTTTTTATTGAGATTCATTTATTTATTTTTTTTTACTAAAAATGTATGATCTATCCAAAAGAGGAAAAAATAAGGTCGGAAGAACAAATGTCAAATAGGAAAAAATGGCCAATGTGATAAACAAATACACTATTCAAAGAATTACATTAATGCAAATAAGTAAAATTGATTAAAGCAAGAAACTGTCAAGTGTAAAGAAGTATAAGCACACACCTATCTGCTCTTTACAATAAAAACACTTAAATTTAAAGACAGATAAATTGAAAATAGTGGGTTGAGAAAAGATATTTCATGCAAATATTATGTACAAAAATCTGGATGTGACAACATTAATGTCAGAAAGAAGGACTTCGAATAAAGAGCACTGCTAAAAAAATCAAAATCAGGCATTGTGCAATAATTAATGATTTAATTCATCAAGGATATATAACAATCATAGATAGACAGATAGATATCCCTGATAATATAGCTTAAAAAGTCAGAAAAAATTGTTGTCAGAAGTGAATGTAAGAAGTAGAGCCACAATCCTAATCTCTATGTATTTGCTGAACAACTAGGTAAAATAGTGAACATGCATACAAAACATGCAAACAACACTATTATCCATAGTGACCTAACAATGATCTGATTGTGACAAAATAGAAATAAAACACCCTCATACCCCGCATCTATTAAAACTATTAAATAGTAAAACAAACAAAACAATAAACCACTTCATTCTTTTCCAGTGAACTTTTCAAACTTTTCAGGAAGAAATAAGGCCAATGCTATGTAAAGTTTAAGAGGAGAAACAACTTCACAATCACATTATGAGACAAGCATAAATGTGATTTCAACAACTGACAAAGTAATTTCAAGACAGGAGACTTATGGAAGAATATACCCCACGAACCATGACATAATAATTTATTATAAAATATTAGAAACTAGATTTGCCAACATAAAAAGAAATCATACATCATGAGAGGGCTTTACCTGAGAATTGCAAGTTTTGTTTACCATTTTTAAAACAATAAAAATAATTCCTGACAGTTAAGCATGAAAACGAAACACGATCATCTCTATTGATGCAAAAGAAAATTACTAGACAAAATGTAACACCTATTCATAGCAAAGAGAACTTCTTAAAAGAGCATGTTTGAAAGAGTTACTGCTATTATGATACTTAAGGTTTAGGAATTAAGGACTTTTTCACAAAGACTGCAAACAGAAAGATCTTCTTTCAAAATTCCACTGAATTACTTATTGGAAAACCTACCAACTGCAATAAGACAAGGAAAAAAATTATGAAGATTGGAATGAAATAAATGAAGCTATGTTTTTCAAAGATAATATGTTTATGTAGAGATGCAGTGAAATGTCTGCAATATATTAACATAAAACTCTTACAACAAATACTTGCATAAATAATTACTGCTTTAACTAAGGAACAAAAGTGAAATATATAGAAATGTATCTAACAAAAGATTTCCAAGCTCTGTAGCAATAAATACACTAATATTATAGAGAAACTAAACATCTAAACAAATGAAGAGTTATGTATTTCTTAATTAGTGGCTTAATAAATAGAAAAACTGTCTAAACTCACACAAAAAAGCAATTGCAAGATGAGTATACAAGATCCAGCAATATATCATATAGAAAAATTATTAAAAATAAAGTTACATAGAAGGAAGCAAAGAAATAAATTAGCATATAATTTCACCAAAAGCAAGAATAATTAAATTTAAAAATAAAAAAATAAATTTTAAGACAAAATGCATAAGAAAATAATAACAGAATTTATACTAAGAAATAAACAATAGTTTAATAAAATGTAAAAACCAGAAGGTGGCTAGCAAGATGGCCAAAAGGGAACAGCTCTGGTCTGCAGCTCCCAGCAAGATCCAACACAGAAGGTGGCTGGTTTCTGCATTTCCAACTGAGGTACCCAGGTCATCTCACTGGGACTGGTTAGACAGTGGGTGCAGCCCACAGAGGGCGAGCTGAAGCAGGGTAGGGCATCACCTCACCCAGGAGGCACAAGGGGTCAGGGAACTCCCTCCCATAGCCAATGGAGGCCCTGAGGGACTGTGCCATGAGGAACGGTGCATTCCTTGGTCAAAGCCAGGGAGCCAAGTGATCTAGCTCAGTGGATCCCACCCCCACGGAGCCCAGCAAGCTAAGATCCACTGCCTTGAAATTCTTGCTGCCAGCACAGCAGTCTGAAGTCGACCTGGGATGCTCCAGCTTAGTGGCGGGGAGGGGCGTCTGCCATTACTGAGGCTTTGAGTAGGCCGTTTTCCCCTTACAGTGTAAACAAAGCTGCCAGAAGTTTGAACTCGGCAGAGCACACTGCAGTTCAGCAAAGCCACTGTAGCCAGACTGCCTCTCTAGAGTGCTCCTCTCTGGGAAGAATTCACATCTCTGAAAGAAACGCAGCAGCCCCAGTCAAGGGCTTGTAGATCAAATTCCCATCTCCCTGGGTCAGAGCACCTGGGGTAAGGGGCAGCTGTGGGCGCAGCTTCAGCAGACTTATACATTCCTGCCTGCTGGCTCTGAAGAGAACAGCGGATCTCCCAGCACAGCACTCTAGCTCTCCTAAGGGACAGACTCCCTCCTCAAGTGGGTCTCTGACCCCCATGCCTCCTGACTGGGAGACACCTCCCAGCAAGGGTTGGGAGACACCTCCCAGCAAGGGTCGACAGACACTTCATACGGGCGTGCTCCAGCTGGCATCTGGCAGGCTCCCCTCTGGAACAAAGCTACCAGAGGAAGGAACTGGTAGCAATTTTGTTGTTCTGCAGCCTCCACTGGTGATACCCAGGCAAACAGGGTGTGGAGTGGACCTCCAGCAAACTCTAGCAGACCTGCAGCAGAGGGGCCTGACTGCTAGAAGAAAATTAACAAACAGAAAGGAAGGGCATCAACATCAACAAAAAGGGCGTCCACACAAAAACCCTATCCAAAGGTCACTAACATCAAAGACCAAAGGTAGATAAATCCACAAAGATAAGGAAAAACCAGCGAGCGCAAAAAGGCTGAAAATTCCAAAAGCCGAAAGGCCTCTTCTCCTCCAAAGGATCACAACTCCTGGCTAGCAAGGGAACAAAACTAGATGGAGAATGAGTTTGACAAATTGACAGAAGTAGGCTTCAGAAGGTGGGTAATAACGAACTCCTGTGAGCTAAAGGAGTGTGTTCTAACCCAATGCGAGGAAGCTAAGAACCTTGAAAAAAAGGTTAGAGGAATTGCAAACTAGAATAACCAGTTTAGAGAAGAACATAAATGACCTGATGGAGCTGAAAAACACAGCACAAGAACTTCATGAAGCATACACAAGTATTGATAGCTGAATTGATCAAGTGGAGGAGAGGATATCAGAGATTGAAGATAAACTTAATGAAATAAAGTGTGAAGACAAGATTAGAGAAAAAAGAATGAAAAGGAACAAAGCCTCCAAGAAATATGGGACTATGTTAAAAGACCAAACCTACCTGAAAGTGATGGGGAGAATGGAACCAAGTTGGAAAACACTCTTCAGGATATTATCCAGGAGAACTTCCCCAACCTAGCAAGACAGGCCAACATTCAAATTCAGGACATACAGAGAACGTTACAAAGATACTCCTTGAGAAGAGCAACCCCAGGACACATAATTGTCAGATTCACCAAGGTTGAAATGACGTAAAAAATCTTAAAGTCAGCCAAAGAGAAAGTTCGGGTTACCCAGAAAAGGGAAGCCCATCAGACTAACAGCGGATCTCTCTGCAGAAACCCTACAGGCCAGAAGAGAGTGCGGGCCAATATTCAACATTATTAAAAAAAAGAATTTTCAGATGGGGTGGTGACTCATGCCTGTAATCCCAGCACTTTGGGAGGCCAAGGCGGGGGGATCTTGAGGTCAAGAGATCAAGACTACCCTGCACAACATGGTGAAACCCCGTCTCTACTAAAAATACAAAAATTATCTAGGTGTGGTGGTACACACCTGTAGTCCCAGCTACTCAGGAGGCTGAGGCAGGAGAATTGCTTGAACCAGGGAGGCAGAGGTTGCACTGAGCTGAGATCATGCCACTGCACTCCAGCTCAGTGACAGAGTGAGACTCCATCTCAAACAAACAAACAAAAAAACAAAAAATTTTCAACCTAGAATTTCATATCCAGCCAAACTAAGCTTTATAAGTGAAGGGGAAATAGAATCCTTTACAGACAAGCAAGTGCTGAGAGATTTTGTCACCACCAGGCCTGCGTTACAAGAGCTCTTGAAGGAAGCACTAAATATGTAAATGAAAAACCAGTACTAGCCACTGCAAAAAACACACCAAATTGTAAAGTCCATTGACACTATGAAAAAACTGCATCAACTAACAGGCAAAATAACCAGCTAGCGTCATAATAACAGAATCAAATGCACACATAACAATATTAACCTTAAATATAAATGGGCTAAATGCCCCAATGAAAAGAAACACAGACTGGCAAATTGGATAAACAGTCAAGACCCATTGCTGTGCTGTATTCAGGAGACCCATTTCATGTGCAAAGACATACGTAGGCTTAAAAGAAAGGGATGGAGGAATATTTATCAAGCAAATGGAAAGCAAAAAAAAGCAGGGGTTGCATTCCTAGTCTCTGATAAAGTAGACTTTAAACCACCAAAGATCAAAAAGGACAAAGAAGGTCATTACATAATGGTAAAGGGATCGATGAAACAAGAAGAGCTAACTAAATATATATGCACTACATACATATATATACTGTATATAACTAATATATATATACTACATATTACTATAATAGTATATATATATATACTATATATAACTAATATATATACTATATATAAAATGAAATATATATGCATCCAATACAGGAGCAAAGCATAAAGCAAGATTCATAAAGCAAGTTCTTAGAGACCTACAAATAGACTTAGACTCGCACACAATAATAATGGGAGACTTTAACACCCCACTGTCAATATTAGACAGATCAACAAGACAGAAAATTAAGGATATTTAGGACTTGATCTCAGCTCTGGAACAAGTGGATCTAGTAGACATCTACAGAACTTTCCACCCCAAATAAACAGAATATACATTCTTCTCAGCACCACATTACACTTACTCTAAAATTGACCACATAATTGGAAGTAAAACACCACTCAGCAAATACAAAAGAAAGGAAATCATAACAGTCTCTCAGACCATAGTGCAATCAAATTAGAACTTGGCATTAAGAAACTCACTAAAAACCACACAACTACATGGAAACTGAACAACCTGCTCCTGAATGACTACTGGGTAAATAACAAAATTAAAGCAGAAATAAGTAAGTTCTTTGAAACCAATGGGAACAAAGACACAATGTACCAGGATCTCTAGCACACAGCTAAAGCAGTGTTTAGAGTGAAATTTATGGCACTAAATGCCCACAGAAGAAAGTGGGAAAGATCTAAAATCAACACCCTAACATCCCAATTAAAAGAACTAGAAAAACAAGAGCAAACAAATTCAAAAGCTAGCAAAAGACAAGTAATAACTGAGATCAGAGCAGAATTGAAGGAGATAGAGCCACAAAAAAACCTTCAAAAAGTCAATGAATCCAGGAGCTGGTTTTTTGAAAAGATTAACAAAATAGATAGACCACTAGCCAGACTATTAAAGAAGAAAAGAGAGAGGAATCAAATAGATACAATAAAAGATGATAAAAGGGAGATCACCATTGATTCCACAGAAATACAAACTACTATCAGAGAATACTATAAACACATCTATGCATATAAATTAGACAATCTAGAAGAAATGGATAAATTCCTGGACACATACACCCCGCCCCCCAAGACTAAACCAGGAAGAAGTCAAATCCCTGAATAGATCAATAATGAGTTCTGAAACTGAGGCAGCAATTAATAGCCTAACAACCAAAAAAAGTCCAGGACCAGATGGATTCACAGCCTAATTCTACCAGAGGTGCAAAGAGGAGCTGGTACCATTCCTTCAGAAACTATTCCAAACAATAGAAAAAAAGGGAATCCTCCCTAATTCATTTCATGAGGCCAGCATCACCCTGATACCAAAACCTGGCAGAGTCACAAAAAAAAAAAAAAAAGAAAGAAAGAAAATTGAAAATTTCAGGTCAATATCCCTGATGAACATTAATGCAAAAATCCTCAATAGAATACTGGCAAACCAAATCCAGCAGCATATGAAAAAGCTTATCCACCACAATCAAGTCAGCTTCCACCCTGGGATGCAAGTCTGGTTCAACATACGCAAATCATTCAATGTAATCCATCACATCAACAGAACCAATGACAAAAACCACATGTTTAGCTGAATAGAAGCACAAAAGGCCTTCGATATAATTCAACACCCCTTTATGCTAAAAACCCTCAATAAACTAAGTATTGATGGAACGTATCTCAAAATAATAACAGCTACTTATGACAAACCCACAGCCAATATCATACTGAATGGGCAAAAGCTGGAAGCATTCCCTTTGAAAATCAGCACAAGACAACGATTCTTTCTCTCACCACTCCCATTCAACATAGTATTGGAAGTTCTGGCCAAGGCAATCAGACAAGATAAATAAATAAAGGGTATTCAATTAGGAAGAGAGGAAGTCAAATAGTCTCTGTTTGCAGATGACATGAGTGTGTATTTAGAAAACCTCATGGTCTCAGCCCAAAATCTCCTTAAGCTGATAAGCAACTTCAGGAAAGTCTCAGGATAAAAAATCCATGTGCAAAAATCACAAGCATTCCTATACACCAATAATAGACAAACAGAGAGCCAAATCATGAGCAAACTCACATTCACAATTGCTACAAAGACAATAAAATACCTAGGAATCCAACTTACAAGGGATGTGAAGGATCTCTTCAAGGAGAACTACAAACTACTGCTCAAGGAAATAAGAGAGGACACATACAAATGGAAAAACATTCCATGCTAATGGATAGGAAGAATCAATGTTGTGAAAATGGCCATACTGCCCAAAGTAATTTGTAGATTCAGTGCTATACCCATCAAGCTACCATTGACTTTCTTCACAGAATTAGAAAAATCTACTTTAAATTTCATGTGGAACAACAACAAAAAAAAGAGCCTGTATAGCCAAGACAATCCTAAGCAAAACAAAAACAAACAAACAAAAAAACAAAGCTGGAGGCATCACGCTACCTGACATCAAACGATATTACAAGGCTACAGTAACCAAAACAGCATGGTACTGGTACCAAAACACATATGTAGACCAAGGGAACAGAACAGAGGCCTCAGAAATAACACTACACATTACAACCATCTGATCTTTGACAAACCTAACAAAAACAAGCAATTGGGGAAAGGATTTCTTATTTAATAATGGTGTTGGGAAAAATGGCTAGCCATATGCAGAAAACTGAAACTCCTTCCTTATGCCTTATACAAAAATTAAGATGGATTAAAGACTTAAATGTAAGACCTAAAACCATAAAAACCCTAGAAGAAAACCTAGGCAATACCATTCAGGACATAGGCATGGGCAAAGACTTCATGAGTAAAACACCAAAAGCAATTGCAACAAAAGCCAAAATTGACAAATGGGATCTAATTAAACTAAAGAGCTTCTACACAGCAAAAGAAACTATTATTAGGATTAACAGGCAACCTATAGAATGGAAGAAAAGTTTTGCAATCTATCCATCTGACAAAGAGCTAATATCCAGAATCTACAAGGAACTTAAACAAATTTACAAGAAAAAAACAACCCCATCAAATAGTGGGCGAAGGATATCAACAGATACTTCTCAAAAGAAGACATTTATGCTGCCAACAAACATATGAAAAAAAGCTCATCATCACTGGTCATTAGAGAAATGCAAATCAAAACCACAATGAGATACCATCTCACCCCAGTTAGAATGGCGATCATTAAAAAGTCAGCAAACAGATGCTGGAGAGGATGTGGAGAAATAGGAAAGCTTTTACACAGTTGGTGGGAGTGTAAATTAGTTCAACCATTTTGGAAGACATTATGGTGATTCCTCAAAGATCTAGAACTGGAAATACCATCTGACCCAGCAATCCCATTACTGGGTATATAGCCAAAGGATTATAAATCATTCTACTGTAAAGACACATGCACATGTATATTTATTGCAGCACTATCCACGACAGCAGAGACTTGGAACCAACCCAAATATCCATCAATGATAGACTAGATTAAGAAAATGTGGCACATACACACCATGGAATACTATGCAACCATAAAAAAGGATGAGTTCATGTACTTTGCAGGCACATGGATGAAACTGTAAACCATCATTCTCAGCATACTAACACAGGACCAGAAAACCAAACACCACATGTTCTCACTCATAAGTGGGAGTTGAACAATGAGAATACATGGACACAGGGAGGGGAATATTACACACTGAGGCCTGTTGAGGGGTGGCGGACTAGGGGAAGGATAGCATTAGGAGAAATACCTAATGTAGATGACGGGTTGATGGGTGCAGCAAACCACCATAGCACGTGTTTACCTGTGTAACAATCCTGCATGTTCTACAAGTGTCCCAGAACTTAAAGTATAATTTGAAAAACTGTAAAAATCATTTCCACATTTTATAATTCAAAACTATTTATTTGGGAATAGGTAAGTGTCTATTTTTTCCTTGGTTTTGTATTTAGTGTTTTGTGTACTTTGATTTTCTTTTCCTGTTTGTTCCTTTTATTTCAATCATTTTTTAAAAATAAGCAAATTTTTTCTTAGTTTCCACTAAACATCTTGATAGTAACACTTTTTAATCTCTTGATTTATTGCTAAGGACTTAGTACTGTTCGTGTTCCCCTACAATTCATATGTTTAATCCCTCATCCCCAGTGTGATGGTATTTGGAGATGGAGTCTTTTATTAGTGTCCTTCTAGAGATCCCAGAGATTGCATCTCTTCCTCTGTGTCTCTCTGTTTACCACGGAGGTGGTTAACCAATAAAATAAATTTTTAGACAAAATGCACAAGAAAATAAAAACAAATAATTTACACTGAGATGAACAAAAGTTTAATAACATATAAAAAGGAAAGTTTATACAATTTAGGAGATGGCTTTCTGCAAACCAGAAAGAGAGCCCTCACCGGGAACCAATTACCCAGCACCCTCATCTTGGACTTTCCAGCCTCCAAAATTGTGAGTAATAAGTGTTTGTTTTCTAAGCCACCTAATTTACGGTAATTTGTTATTGTAGCCCCAGATCACTAAGACATTCATTAATTTAAATAATTTTCCTGATATAAACAATTGTTTAATTTGTTTTGTTTATAAATCATTATTGAAATATCAGCTCTAAAATTATTTATAAATCTACAGATTTTCTTTTAACTTAATTCAGCACTTAAAAATATATATACAGTCAACACCACTTTCTTCCTGGTTCACTTAATTTTATTGTATTGTATTCCTTTTCTAATCTATTTAAATATTTTAGTTTGTTTAAATGACTTAAATGCTTAACCAGTATAAGTTCCAAGTGCAAGACTATGTAGGGGTAAGTAAAAGCCAGTTCATGATGCATACAGAGTGTGAGTAAAAACAACATTTTGTCATTTTGAGTTAAAAAGATTTGGGAGTTATATTACTCCCAAAGTTGAATGCAGTTGAACATAGCTAATGATGCTAAAAGTGTAGTTTAAATTGTAAATGCTTTTCCTCTTCTTTCTCTGTCTCTTCCTCATCTTTTTATTCTTTAATTTTTGGCTATTTATATCAGTAGGCTTTTTTATTTTATAGTCTGTATTTAGTTCTTCTAATGATTTTACTTTATCTGTCTCTTCCTCATTTTTTTATTCTTTAATTTTTGGCTATTTCTATCTGTAGGCTTTTTTATTTTATAGCCTGTATTTAGTTCTTCTAATGATTTTACTTGTATCTGTATTCTTATAATATAGTTCATCCTCATTTTTGCTATGCATTATGTTTCACTGCCTTGCACACACACACACAGAGAGAAAACACAAAAATTATTTCTGAATTCTTTATTCTTTTACATATAATACATTTGAACCTGCACTCATATCTGAATTTTCACTTATTGGAAAATATACACTAACATACCAACAGGAATAAGTAAGCAGCTCTTAGTTAATGCTGGTGGGAATGCAAAATGATATAGCCACTTAAGAATAGAGTTTGTCAGTTACAACACTAAATATATTCTTACCATATCCAGCAACCACTTTCCCTGGCATTTACTCAAATGAGTTGAAAACTTATGTCCATGCAAAAATTGAACATGAATGTTTATAGTAGATTTATTCATAATGCCAAAACTTGGAAGTAACCAAAATGTCCTTCACTATGTGAATGGGTACATTAACTTAGATACATCCATAGTATAGGTTATTATTTAGTAATAAAATAAAAATAAAACAAACCACAAAAAAGACATGGAGTAACCTTAAATGCATACTGCCAAGTAGAGATGGTAAAAATATCAGTGGCTGCCAAGGGTTGGAGTGAGGGGATGAGAGAGAATAAGGAAGTGCTGGATAAGTGAAGCACAGGGAATTTTTAGGGCAATGAACTACTTTGTATAATTTGTAATGGTGGATACATGTCCTTATAGTTTGTCAAACCCCATAAAATGTACAAAACAGTGAACCATGGACTTTAGTTAACAATAATGTATCAATATTGGCTCATCAATTGTAGCAAATTCACCACACTTAAGCATGATCTAATAAAAGAGGAAACAGGGAAGAGAAAAATGGTGTAAAGGAACATACTTTTGCTCATTGTCTTCCAAACATAAAATTGCTCAAAAAATCAATTCTATTGATTACAAAAAAATTCAATTCAACATGCCAGTGTCTTCTGTTGTTCCTCATCTACTCACCCACTTTAAAAAATAAAAATGCACGTGTATATGTTCGTATAAAGACATTATATGTATTTCTATATCATCATGGTTTAATTTGTTTCAATTAACATATTTCTTGAATCCTTTAAAGATGTTTAATTGCATTTTAAAGTATTTTACAAATAATTTAGGATATGTTTCAATAGGTTCACAATCAATAATATATTTATACAAGGTTGTACTTACCTGAAGAGTTTGAAGTTATGTTATATTAATAAAATAATTTTTAAAGAAAAAGAAATTTATGGAATATCTGGAATCTCCCAGCATATGGTCTCTAATACTTACATGGGTCAAACAACATCCAGGGGGTTTTCCAGCTATATGTGTATGGCCGTATCAAGGGCAAGAGAATTATGTTTCCTTTAGATCATTTTAGTAAAATTTTAGAAATTAAGTTTTTACATATTTACCTTGCTTCCTGTTCTGTCTTCTCAAAATACCTTTAGTTATATATGTATTGAATCTCGATTTTCCAATTTGTCTTTGTTCTACAATTTTTTAATCATTTATAATTCATCTTCATTCATTTTTTTGTCCACATTCCCCAAGATTCTTTCACATGAATGTATATCTACAATTGCATTTTTAGATGTCCCTACCCTTCCTACTCCCTTTTTTCTGTGACTTCTAATAAGTTATTTTTTCTTATTCCTTGCTTTCCTTATACATGCCAGTTGATGTTTTACCTAGTTCTGTAATTTTCTTTCTTTCTTATATATTGTAAGTAAAATCAGAATTAAAATGCAATATTTATTTACTAGGCTTTGGATTTCAGAGAAAACCTCTGGTCACATTTTCAGAGAAAACCTCTGGTCACCAAATGTATGGTCATTTTTAAAATTATACTGTTTATTTACTTCTTGTTAATTTTCTTCTTTATTTTACACCTTCTTTTAAACTGTCCTACTTTTGTATTATTCATATTCCAAAGAGGATCTTTTTTCCTGAGTTATTTGTAAACGAATATATTCTGAGAGGAGTCAGCAGAATGTTCCTGAATAGGCAGGTGATCTCCATAAATAAAAAGTGTGTTGATGGGTGTGTGTGTGTGTGCATGTATGCGTGTGTGTGTGTGTGTGTGTGTGTTGATTTTGCCTCTACTATCTGCTGATGAAAAATATCAGCAAAATAGCTTCTCATACATATGGATAACTCTTAATCCTCTTCTTCTGCTGTTCTCTGTTACTTCAGAGTAATATGAAATGAATCAGGTCCATTCATTCCGATCTATCTGTTCAAACAACAGACAGATCTGTTGTTTTTGTTCACTTTTTGTTTTCAGGGTGTGTCACCTACTTTGGAGAACTTACTTCACCCTCCGCCCCACCGCCATTTTATTATTTCTAAAACATAGGTGTCTACCCTTCATCATCTCTTATTACAAAGTGCATTTTTCTTCATTGAACTTGGCATTTTTCATTATATTCTAATGTTCAGAATAAGAGCTTGGCCTACTTCCCTTGAAGATGAAATTACTGTTCATATTCCTCTCATTTTTGACGAATTCAGAGAAAATGAGGCACTGCTATTGTTATGGCATTATTTTAAACTCAGAAATTTTATAACACTTAATTACATCTTGAAATGTTATTAGTTCTACAAGTTTTGGCCATATTTAAATACTCAAAATGTACTGAGTCCCTTCAATACACAAAGTATTCTGTGTCGTGAAAAATGAGTATGATACAATTCAATTCCTCAAGTTGTTAACAATTTTCTCAGTGAGAACACATATACATCTAATCACAATACATGTCAGAGTGTGATAAGGTCTAAAATCATAATTGATTAAGACATAATGTGATTTAGTAAAATAAAAAGATGACTGTTAAAGCTATCGTATTTCTTTTCTGAGTTATGAAATTATGACAGTCCACCATAAATATTCTTTTCAGTTTTTCCACATCAGATCTTAAAATCTTTCACTGTAGATTTACAGTGGTCTGGAAAGACTTGCTTTGTATTACTCTGAATACTGTAAAATATTCATGAATCAGCATTTTTCATGTTAAACCGAAGTTGTAAAATTGTCTGAACTATGGCAATAATTAATATCTTACTACAAAAGATATTTGTCTCTAACCCTTTAAGTGTGATTACTTTTATGTCTCAGCCATATGTTAGTAAGCAAAGATGGCACATATTTCCAGGTAAAGGACCATAATCAGTATTCGTTAATATCTTTAGCTTGTCACATAATAACTAAATGAGATTAATTTTAATGACTAAAATTTTAAGTCACTTTATATTGTGTTAAAATGTTTACAAAATGACCTCACAATTCTATGTTCTCCTTCAGAGTCCTCATGAGCAAATGTCTAAGCATGAATTTTGTTTATAGCCTTATTCTTTCATATAGTTACCTTACTGCCCAAAACATAGTGAACCTTTTTTCTCTGAAGACATATACAAACGTTCATGTTTTCTTTACTCAGCTAGTACACATTTTTCTCACATAGTTTTATATTTTTTCAAAGGTTTATAAGCATTGCAGAAGTATAGTTTATTGTTCTCTCAGTTCCCCCTACCCATATCAAGATATTACATACTTAATTTGCAAGATATTTTACATCATGTGTTTTAGGTTAAAGATCAGAGATAACGTTGTAAGTACATTATTCTAGAAAACAAAGACTGATACATCTAAGTAATCTTAAATTAATGTAAAAAATGAGGTGACTATAGAGAACAATGAATTTAATTTAATAAATACAGTTGTCAAAGGTGAATAATTTAGAACTTCCAACTCACTTTTTCTCTTAATTAGTAACAAAAATATAAAAGACTGTTGAACATTTCCTACATACTGTACTTAATGCTCAGAATAGATTTAAAAAAAGACAGAAACTTTCCATTTCTTATTAAACTGTAGAAAACAGATATAAAAACAGAAGTTTACATATAATTATTCACATACTTTCAATTGGGCAATGATGAAGTGACTTTTTAATCTTAAACCAGAAGAATAAACTGGGATTTAATGAAGAAAGATTTGGCATAGGAAGGAGGCAGATGCTTTCTAGAGAGAGGATATAACATAAAGGAATATTGGGAACAGGATGAAACTATTGATTCAAAGACTAGAAATAGATTTTAAAAAGGTGAATCCTACAGAGAAAAAGGCAATAGTCAGAAAATGAGTTTATATAAGATAGCCAAGGATATACCACAAAAAAGCATATATAATAATCTTGGACTGTATTTGAAGGGTTTTAAATTGGGAGGGTAACATTATTCACTGTTCATCATCCAAATTTAGAAACAAGGAGATTTTGAAATTGTTACTTTTGAGTATTATCAACTTGGAGGAACTGCTACTCTTTACTGAATCAAAGAACACAAGAAGAAGGAAATGTATGTGTGTGCATGAAGGAAAAGGTCTTGGACTCAATTTTAGAACATGGCTATTCAAAGAAGCCAATGAAATACTCAAAAAGAGATTTAATAAATAATATATTTAATGATTGGTTATTGAATTTTTGAGTTTTTAAGACAAAAAACATACAAAATAACTCTCATGAAGTTTATATTGAAGTGAAGGTAAAAAAACAATGAATAACAAAGTGAATATGTAGAGTGAAATGGTTGACTTCAGAATAATGCTGATTTGACATTTATTGGCTCATCTCTGCAAGGTAAGTCCTGAGATCAGACAATATGACTCACTCAAGGATGAAGCCTTAATACTGAGCTCTGTACATTTTTCTATTTAATATCATAATCAGTCTCTTAAGATGTTAAAGTTCTTCAGGATAAAAATTTTAACCACTGCTTTATTTAGGGTCTTGGAAGGAAATGCTGACACAGTTTGGGGGCAAAAAGAACCTTTTAGAATATTCCAGGGTAGGTTATTAGAACCCACTTTTCCCAAGTCAGGTCATGATAAGACTCAATGTTAATTATTGACTTCATTTTTGGCCATGAGGGGAGGTAGTGTCTCGAGGCTGTTATATTTTAGTTTTAAGACCTGGGCTCAGTTTAAATTGCACATTCTTTATGCATGAAAGTGATGTTCTACCCTCTAGCAAGGTGAAGATGCCACCTCAATAGAGCCAAAGGGTTCAATTGGTTCAGAGTTTAAATGTTTTTGAGCATATTCACCGGATACCACCATCTCAAGTCTTACAGACTCCATCTGGACATTGTGGTGTAAAAGGCTTTTCTAATGCTACTTTTTTAACTTTCTTTGAAATCTGGTTCTCACATGTTTAGGTTCTGGTCTTGATTTTCATTACAATCCGAATGTCCCATAGGCATTGTAATTGTGTAGCAGTCTTCCTGCTCCTTAACTCAGCGAGGTCCAAGTTCTTGTTTCATGACCAGGAAGAATTAGGCACACGGAAACTGGAGAGTGAGTGGAGTAGAATTTATTAAACAAAAGGAAAACACTCAGTGGAAAGGGGGTGTGGGCAAGTGGTTCCCCTACCCAAAGGTGGGAAAGTCTCCTGTGTGGCTGGGTCCGGGGCCTCGTATGGGCTCAGAATGGGAAGTGTGTGCTTATTGGTTTGTGAGTATGCAAAAAAGATTAAAATAAAGATACCACTCAAAGTTGGGCACAACAGTGTAGAAAACCAATTAGGAAAGGGTAGGTATATGTAAAATAGGTGAAGGGTGGGGATCAATCAGAGGAAAGTGTGTGAAACAGGAAGAGAAGTTCTCAGTCTGGTCCCAGGATTTAACCTGTAGCTTGGCTTTTAGGCTTAAAACTTTCTTCAGCTTGGAGGTGGGGTTTCACCACGGACCTGTCTCTAACTTCCTGGGCATTTGACTGGGCTGCCTCCTGCCACTCTCAATTACTGTATCCTTTATATTCAGAGCTTGGGTTCTTTCTTTAGTCATATCTTCCCTGAAACCCTAATAAATTTGACTCTTCTCCAAAATTGCCATTTACTAAGTTTCTCGGATTTTCCTATCTGAGAGTAAAACTTTGGCAGGATTCTACCACCATCTCAAAATCCAGCTATAGGATTCAGGTTAGGGAACAAGACACAGATATAAAAGTACTGTGTATGTGCGTGCTCCTTTCCCTTTCAAAATCTTTCTCTCCTCCTGAGTAGTTCAGATGGTATAATTTTGGGAGGCAGCAGGAATGTTGTGCAGGCAACAATTCAGATGATATCATATACTTTAAAATCTTCTTAAATATTGGCCCCTGCTTTTAAAATTTGGATTAAAATAAAAGAGAATGTTATGGAATAATTATATGACTTTTTTTGCTCCCTCTTTATTATCTTCTTTAACTGTTCCCTAGAGTAAGTCAGTTATAAGTGTGGCACATGGGATTTTAGTTTTTCCAAGAGTGTTGTTGTCACAAAATCCAGCAAGCAAAATGGCACATATTTTAGATTCTGAGATCAAAAGTAACCATCTGTGTTTGAAACAGAAATGATTCAATGTGCATGTTAATATGCAGAATAAGATATTATGCCTAGCACTGTTAGTAAATAATATTCTCAAAAGTTAGAGAAATAGGCTGGGTGCTGTGGCTCATGCCTGTGATCATAGCACTTTGGGAGGCCAAGGTGGGTGGATCACCTGAGGTCAGAAGTTCGAGACCAGCCTGGCCAACATGGTGGCAGGTGCCTGTAATCCCAGCTACTCAGGAGGCTGAGGCATGAGAATCGCTCGAACCCTGGAGGTAAAGGTTGCAGTGAGCCAAGATCACGCCACTGCACTTTAGCCTGAGGGACAGAATGAGACTGTTTCTCAAAAAAAAAAAAAAAAAAAAAAGTAAAGAAAAGAAAGAGAAAGAGAATAAGGGTAAGAGACGAACATGATGAACATTTGCATACTATTTCCTGTTAATATTTCACCTGAGTATGAGAGTCAGAGACCATTAAGACCACTAAGGAACTCTTCTAAAGGCAATAAACTTGAGAATACATACAGTTGGCACCTTGATTCCAGGTGAGGCCAGGATATGCAACAAGTATGTAGCAAATGCTCCCTAAATATGATGGTAGAGCAACCTATATTAAAATGGTGGTATAATGTGAAAACATGGAGAATAGTGGAGGTCAGTTATGAGAAAACTCATCATTTTCAAGTTATGCTCTAGTTGTATCAGGCTTCAGAGTGCCATAATAGAACATCCAGAATTTCCTGTGACTCAAACTGGAGTAAAAAAAAAAAAAGTTCAGAATTTTAAAGGATGTCTTGTTAAGTATGCTGGGGGTCCTGAAGATAGGAGGAGAAGATCCTCAGTGAATCAAATAAACTGTTCTCCTCAGGAGATCTACAGCACTACAAAGCTAGGAGGGGCTGAGTTCCTGTCTGCAGATAATCCATTTGTATTAATCCATTTTCTGTTGCCTATAACAGAATACTTAAGATAGGGAAATTTATAAAGAAAATGAATTTATTTCTTACAGTTAGGGAGGATAGGAAGTCCAGGGTTGAGGGGCACTTCTGGTAGAGGCCTTCTTCTTGGTGGGGACTCTGAAGAGTTCCAAAGTTGGCACAGAGCATCACATGGCAAGGAACCTGAATATGCTAGCTCAGGTTTGTCTTCCTCTTGTTATAAAGCTCCAAGTTCCACTCCCGTAATAACCCATTAATCCATTAATCCAAGAAAGAATTCATTCATTCATGAGGGCAGATCCCTCATGATCCAATCATCTTTTGAAGTTCCCACCTTTCAATACTGCCACATTGGGGATTAAGTTTCCAACACTTGAAGTTTGGGGGACACATTTAAACCATAACACCATTTTATTTATTTCAAATATAATAATTCATACTTATCTATACTAGGTTAGAGGAGAGCATAGAACCTTGACAAAATAGGACAGAAAGTAGGCATTCCCATTTTAATCACCAATATTTCGTATTTTTCATTGTCTTTCAGAAAAGAGAAACAAATCCTTCAGCTCAATCTTTCCAGGGACATTCTTAACACAAACTACATGTTGTATTAGGTCATGGGAATTGTAATAATTTCAAAAATTAGAATTTAAATAGGCCTAATTTATAAAATATTAAACAGGTAAAACAATTATTGCAAAACACAAGTAATGCAATGTCTAGGAATTTGTGCAAAATAGGTAGTTATAAAAAACACACATATATATTTACTATATATATACACATAAGTTGTATTTATAAACATAAATAATTATATTTAAAACAAACATTTGTACAAATTATAGTCATAATTTGTATTGCAGATTAATGAAAAATTATTATAAAATGAAACCTATGTACTTCATAAACAACTGTGCTCATTAGAAACAAACAACAAAAATATTTGTTTGTTTAATAATAATACTCTTTTTTTTGAGGTGGTATCTCATTCTGTCACACAGGCTGGATCATAGCTCACTGTATCCTCAAACTCCTGGGCTCAAGCAATCCTCTTTCCTCAGACTCCTGAATAGCTGGGACTATATGAGAAAGCCACTGTGGCCAGCTAAGTTTTTAATGTTTTGTAGAGAAGGGGTCTTGCATTTTTAACCAGGCTGATCTCAAACTCCTGGCCTCAAGCTATCCTCCCACCTCTGCCTCCCAAAGTGCTGAAATTATAATTGTGAGCCACCATACCAAGTCTAATAATAATACATTTTAATATTGATGGTAATGATGATGCATTTGTCGTTTAATAGAAAAAACTGAGAAAGAGAATAGTAAAATAATTATATAAAAATGAAATATGTTTGATATCATTGATTGCAGACAGAACATCCTCTTTACCACTCCATCAAATAATTTACCATAATAACAGATGCTTCAGCTATCTCTCTCCTCCTTGACTGTACACTTCAGAAAAACTGACTTCACTAACAACTTTAGCATTGGAATTACTATGAGATATTTCTATTTCTTTTCCACTAATTTGTTGCTGAATGGATATGTGACATTTCTGGCCAATAAAATGCTAAGAAAGTCACAGGAAAGGATGACTTATTTTCTCTGTCAGGATGCTATTGATTCTATTTGCAGTGGTTGAAACTGTGCTTGCTTTCTTCATAGCATTTGGGCATGAACTGAACACTAATAACGAAAGATGAAAAGAACGATGCTTTGATGAAATTATTGAATCAGTGAATCAACCTGAAGGTCACTAATTCTCAATAACTCTCAAGAGAGATTGTACATTTTTCTTAGTGTCTAAGCAATTTTGAATCATGTATTTTTCATTTTCTGCCAAAAGCATTCTAATTATCAGCAAAAAGTATTGAATTGAGACCAAAGTAAAATTAATTAGAGGACCAAAAAAGGTGATGAACATGTACAACAGTCAGACACGTGTGATAAACAATACAAATAAACAACCAATCAAAATAACATAAAAATGAGAGCAATATTATTTATAAATCCCCAAAATTGAGATGAAGAGAGAAAATAAAATCAGATATATGAGGAATATAAGAAATGTTAAGGGCATTCATGAATGCATACAGAGCTTAAAACATTTACCCACAAAAGACATCATGAATTGTATGAAAGGAACACCCGTCAAAAAAGAACACGGGACGTATTTCTCAACATAGTTTTCTTAAAATTATCACAGAATAGAAAATACTAGTCTTATTTGAATTGGGCATAACATAAAGGTTTTTTTCTCATATTTCATTCAAAATAACACAATATATGAAAGTATTATCTGTGTTGGCAAGAACAAGCACCTTAAAAAAGGTGGCGAAAATACCGCCAAGATAAAAGCAGTTCATGCATGTTCTAAGAAAGATTGGTATGATGTGAAAGCACCAGTTATGGTGATTATAGGAAATATTGGATAAAACACTAGTCGCAAGGACTCAAGGAGCCAAAATTGCATCTGATACCTGGAAATCATCATGTTTTTGAAGTGAACTTTGCTGATCTGCAGAATGATGAATTTGCATTAGAAACTCAAACCAATTATGGAGAATGTTCAAGGCAAAAACTGCCTGGTCAACTTTCATGTTGCATTGCATATGTATATTTTATTTTCTATAAATTATGATGTTTTGACATGTTAAGAACCCTTTCTAGCTGGAGAAGAGACTGCCCCTCCTGGGGCTAGTGAATTCTTAAGAGAGAGCAAAGAGCTTGTGAGCACATCTTTTTATGCAAACCAATCACTTCAGATTGGATAGCTCCAAACAACTTAAGTATCTCTCACACACCACACCAATATCACCACTACTCTTAATTCTTTCCAGGACCAGGTGCCTGGCAACTAGAGTTTACTGGAATTATTCAGACTAGCCAATCCTAAACTGTTTGTTCTGCCCTGTCACATTTCCAGCAAAACCCTTCCAAAACACTTTGGCCTAGATTTTCTTCTAACTTCTGTCTTTGTCTCCTGCCCATCCTGTTGTTTCCTGGGGGGCCCTATGTGGCCGCTTATCTTGGAAATGTGAGTAAGAAATAGAAGAGCCTTGGCAATCCTTGTATTTTCTCTAAAATTATTTGTAATATGGAGAAACATCAATATGTTAGTAATATTTAAGGAAAAGACAACCAATAAATAGTAATTTCAGATATTGAAATTAATAGAAACAGATTTAAGGAAGCTATTATATAACCGGGGAGGTAATGGAAAATATGCTTATAATGAATGAACAAATTAGATGTCACAGCAGAACAATAAAAAAATCAAAAAGTACCAAAATAAATTTCTAGAATTGAGAAACACAATAACTGAAACAAATAATTCAGAGTATGAATTTAATAGCACATTGGAGAAGAGTGAAGGAAATGTCAGTTAATTTATAGTAGACCAATAAGATTAATTCAAAATAGTCATCAGGGAAAATAAAATTAAATAGAAAAATAAATGAGGCAAGCCTTAGGGACCTAGAAGGTGATATAAAAATCTAATGCAATGGAATTAAATGAAGCAGAAGGAAGAATGAAGTAAAGCAGAGAAAAATTTGAAGATATAGCAATTAAAATTATCCAATTGTTTGAAAGCATAGTTCATAAAACAGATTCATAAATGACTATATTAAAATTAAGAATTTAATTTTTCAGAAGAAAGCCTAAGATGGAGAACACTATCTATAAATTGGTAAAATTTTGTTAAGTAAACTTGAGACAAAAAAATAAAAATAAAATAAAATTCCTTTCAAATAAGAGAAAACATAAATTGTCCATAGTTTATGAAAATGTATTCAAACTCATTTTTAATTAGAACCACAAAATTGTAAATAAAAAACACAATGGCTCCATTTCATACTTAACAGGATAACAAAATCTGATGTCAGTTCAATGAATTTCTGTTTCAGGGAGACCTATTTACATTTGATTTTTTTTTTTTTTTTTGAGACAAAGTCTCACTCCGTTGCCCAGGCTGAAGTGCAGTGGCGCGAGCTCGGTTCAGTGCAAACTCCGCCTCCCGAGTTCAAGAGATTCTCCTGCCTCAGCCTCCTGAGTAGCTGGGATTATAGGCAGTGCCACCACTTCCGGATGATCTTTGTATTTTTTGTAGAGGTAGGGTTTCACCGTTTTGGCCAGGCTCGCCTCAAACTCCTGACCTCAGGTGATCTGCCCATCTCGGCCTCCCAAAGTGCTGCGATTGCAGGCATGTGCCACTGTGCCCAACCAATGATGTTTTAAGTAAAATTCAGGATTATAAATTTAGAAGACAGAGGAATGCGACCAGGAAGGGCCATCTTTGGGGGCTTCTTAGTTACTGGTGAAATTAAGAGGGATGGTGTTATAAAAGGGAGATGTACAAAAATTAATATAAGAAAGCATATCATGTAGCTCAATAAAAACATAATTTAAATTCCTAGTATTTATAGCTTTGAACAAAGTTTAAATGTCTGTATAATAAAATTTAAATCATGGCAGTAATGTGTGCTTTTAAGCTATGTGGTAGATTTAAGAGAAAAAAACCAATTTATTATTTATTATTGATATACCTAGGGGAATTTCATTAAGTTTTTACAATGCTTAAGTAATAATTATTTGAAAAACAATGTAATGATTTTTAAATTTTTTATGTAATAATTTGGTGGGTAATATTTTAATAATTGAATTTTTAATTATTTAATACAGTCATAAAGCCCTGCGTTAACCAAGACTAAAATCAGTAATAATTCTCTGTGTCAAAAAATAGCCTTTCAGTTATGTAAGGATTCTGTCAATCCCCAGATGTAGAAAATTCACCTCAAATACATTTTCTGGAAACTAGCCTCTGCCCCAGGTTTTTACAAACGGGTTAGTTTCCCTCCCAGGTCGTGCTATTCAAATGCTCTTACTTTTTTTTTTTTTTTTTTTTAATTAACAGTCCTAACTCGTCAAGAGAATAATGCCTTTTACTTTATTAGTGAATTTACTTCACTGAAACTCATACATTTATGTACAGAAAGCTAAGCTCAAAATACAGAAGTTACAACCACAATCAACATATGGATCACCAGACCAATTACTGGACCCTCATAGTGAGGGTTCCTTTATCTAGCTCTTAATCTAACATGGCCAGGGAACCATCATAATGCTGGGCAGAGTAATCCTAAACCACCACTGACACCTTTGTAGTCTTTCAGTGCACAAAATACACTGCATTGCTTTGAAGCTTGCTTGAATTTTGATTTCCTATTACTATGAACATTTTTCAGACTAGAAGGCTTCAGATGTCATTCTGTCCACATTTTAGAGTTTTTAGAGTAAACAGACAACCTAGGTCCATGTGGTGCAGCATCTTACAAGATAGGTTAAATTCTTCAGAAATTCAATTACCTTAAAATAAGTAACTTATTTATTAACTTATTTATAAATAATTACATCTTATCTTCCAAAATGAAATATTAAAAGTTTAAAAGAAACTGATAAAATATTAGATACTTCAAATTTTTTAATATTTTTCTATGGTCGAATAATTGTTTTAATGTTATTTTATACAAAAACTAATTTCAAAAATATATATTCTAAAATAAAAATTGTATTTATCTCTATATAAAGATAAGAATAATGTTATTATCTGAGCATTAAGGTGACACTGAAGTGGTAGTACACATTATTGCCAACACTTAGAAAACTGTGTCTACTATGTTCCACTGAAGTTTACGTTCATTTTTTCATCACGAAATAAATACTTTGTTTAATGTTAAATGTTTTGTAAGACCTTAAAATAAAAACTAGAAGATTATATTTAAAGTTCCAATTTTCAAATGAACAAATCTTCTGAAATTGTTATTTTGAATGCATAGATTGAAAAAATAAGATTAACAGTTATTCTGTTTGAAAATCTGATGAGGCTGATATGCAGTTGCTAGCCTCTAATTTTAACTAGGATGTTCCTTCTCATAAAGCAAACTCAATAAAATCTACTGCTTCATTTTTTTGTATGCGCAAGAAAAGTTGGATTTTTAAATGAGGAAAAATAATTGGCAGGAAGCATCCAAAAGAAAACGTATGCTTTATGTTTCAAATCATTGTTTATGGCACAATCTTCTTAAAATCACAACTTTATTTTGAAGTAGGTGTTGCTTCAGCTTAAGCAAGTTTGTGTTTTACAAAGATAGTGGTATTACGATGAACTTAGGTTTGCATGGTGAATGTTCACAAATACTATGTGAAGTTTTATACTTATTATGACTTTGAGAAACAAATTTGATGCATAATTTTAAAATAAATACATGTATTTGTGTTTTTTCTTTTGACTGTTAATCCAATTATTGCAAAATTGCAAAGCCTTAACGATAAAGCAAAAACATCTTCAACCGTATGATAAATGATAAAACCACTAAAACGAAAATCTTTGGATGAACCACCTTCACTCTATGGTCAGGATGCTCACTTCTATTTTCTCACATATGTATCCAGCACAGATAAGTAATAATTTCTCAACTTTCCTATTGGCACACCTCCTGGTGACCTGATTATTTCACTCATCTGAAAGTCCATATAGCATGAAGCAAGGAATAAGTGGCTGTATGGCTGTCAAGTATATCTGCAAAACGAAAAGGAGAGAACTGTCTAATGGTACTTCAATTTAATTAAAAAGCATCCTACATGCTGTCCTTGAAGTGAATGGAGTACTAACTGCATCTGGAAAAGGATAAAGGATACGAGAAGGTAGACAATTCACCTCTGATCATCTATCAGGTGTGGCAACGTGCTAATAAACTCTGCTCACTGCAACTGTGTCTCACGTACCATTATATGAATTTATGGCGGAAATTAGAAGCCCAGTGAAAACGTTTTCCCAGCTCCATTTATTGAAGAGACTTTCCCCAATATATGATCTTGGCACCATATCCCAGTTTATTTCATTCACGTATTAGAAGAATTTCCCATTAATGTTTTAAAGTCTATAAAAAATACTACACAAGATGTCAAGTATTCTATCTTTCATTGTGAACTATTTAAATCAGATTATCATTAAGCTTTATCATTAAAGCTTTCAGTTATTTTTACTTCAGACATGCAAAATGCTAATAAATTTGAAGTAAACGAAGGCATAATTTCATCTGTATAATTATTGCTTAATAAAAATCTATATATCTGAATAGAAAATCAAACAGAAAGACACATATTCAGAAATTAATATATTTACTATTTAAAGGTATCTTTTCAAAAATTTAGGAGTACTATCTACAGGTTAATATCTAGATTTTTAGTTTGACTCTGACTTTTTATTCTCCGTCTATATAAAAAGAGCTTTGTGTACTTAGGCATAATTTCTTCCTTCCTCGAGGTCTTTAGCAGAGGTTTGGTACTAGAAAGACATCAACGCATGAAAGCATAAGTACTTTAATTTTTTTCCCATGGCAATGCCCAACTGAAAGAAAGTTAAGAGAATGTAATAATACCTACAGATCATTGAACAGATGTACACACACACACACACACACATACACACACACACAGAATTGTCGCCTTTTCATTAAAAAAAAAAGTAAGAAGCCAATGTTAGAAGTTTAATATATGAAGAAAAGATGAAGAAAAGAAAAAGAAAGACTGAACATGAAAGAATCTGAAGCTATTTTTGTATATCTTAGGACATATTTTGAAAAGAGTGGTATAGCAACATCCACTATCAAATACAAAATGATTTTGAGTTGCAAGTAATCTTAGAAAGAAAAAAATATATTATGTATAAGACTGACCACAATGGTTTGAGTAGCACAGCTTACTATGAAGTTGATTCATAGTAAGGAATCAAGTTCCATGATATTAAGTGAACTAAACTTCAAAGGTTTAAGCTTCAAAATCCAATCTATTGAAGCTGTGGACATTGGGTAACATTTCACAAGAGCAGATTTTTACTAGAATGTTTTTCAGAATTTCAATCTTTTCTTCAGAAAGTTCAACATCTTTGGTAGTAAACTAAAGAAAATAAGCGGCATTCAATTTTGTGTTTAATAATTTATATGCCAATTGTATGAATCTTTGAGTATCATTCTTAAAAGGTAACATCAAAATATATTAGTAAAGATTATACATTTTCTGCATAAATTATAAATTGTTATTTTGACATTTAATGCCTGCAACTATGTATTTCTTCATAAAATAACACTTTAAATATGATTTCCTAGAAATGGATTTATAAAAGGACTAATCTGAGCCTTAATAAATAAATGACATAATGGTTTGTGAGATTAACATCCTGTGAACTTGAGGAATATATCTTTTATTTTAGTTTTATTATTTTATTTTTAATGATTAAAATCTAGTATATATCATAGAATGTAAGTAATTGAATAAATATTTGTTAAGCAGATTATTGAATCAACAAATGTATGTTACTTAGTATGTAGCCCTTAACACTAAATGTTCAAAAATGCCAATATCAGTTTATGATAGAATTTTAATATTTAAAAAGAAGATGATTTGGCTGAGTTGGCACAAGTAAGGGACTCATAATTATTTCTGAAATTATATCTCCTCCATTGTTATTGTCAAGATAACTTTTCTCTTACAAGATTATGCTTAGTGAAATTTATTTTCATTTTTCTTACTTTCAAAAAATGTTGTCAAATGTATGTCTGTCTCCACATTAAGTATATCATAATACTGATGGTATAAAACAAACACACACAAAACTGATAATCTACATAGCAACTTTACACATAATTTCATAATAAACTTTTCAAAATAAAGTATAAGCAAATCATATTTAATTTAAATGATATCTAATTTCATTCATAGTATAGTGAGTAGTTATATTACAGTAAAAAAGATATAATTTCACTATTCAGTTATATATTTCTGTCCCTGAGACATTCAATTATGAGTTATTTGAGAACATTTCATTCACAGAGGTTGGCCTCTAAGACTAAGGAATTGGTAAATACTGATGAATATTTTCTCCATTAAGATGGAGAGCCATCAAGGCAAAAGTTTGTTTTATTTTACTATTCTTTAGTTTTCCACAGAACGTATATTTGAGAAATATTTGTTAAGTGAATGAAAAATCATTAATTATGGTGAGCACTATAAAGAGATGTCAGTGATGAAATGACCACAGGATTTGATCTTGGAAGTTCTCAGTGACAAAGATGAGAATAATTTCAATCGAGTTTTGAAAATAGAAGCCTAGAAAGATTATCTTCAAAAAAGGAGGTTAGCCTAAGAAGACAAAAATAATAAATAACAACTTTAATACATTTTCTTCTAAACTGATACAACCCAAAAATATTTCAAGGCCGGGCGCGGTGGCTCATGCCTGTAATCCCTGCACTTTGGGAGGCGGAGGTGGGCGGATCACGAGGTAAGAGATAGAGACCATCCCCGCCAACATGGTGAAACCCCGTCTCTACTAAAAATACAAAAATTAACTGGGCGTGGTGGCGAGCGCCTGTAGTCCCAGCTGCTCGGGAGGCTGAGGCAGAATTGCTTGAACCCGGGAGGCGGAGGTTGCAGTGAGCCGAGATCGAACCACTGCACTCCAGCCTGACAACAGAGCAAGACTCCGTCTCAAAAAAATTAAATTAAATTAAATTAAATTAAAATTAAAATAATATTTCACTCATATATCTAACTCCAAGAATATTCCTTATTCCTTCTGCATAGTGTACATTTAAAATAAATGTTTGAAAACTACTAATTCATCAACATATACATTTCGGAGTGTTACAACATCAACATTTCGGAGTGTTACAAGCTATTCTCTTCAAATTATCGTAATTAATTATAAATGTGTAATAGTATTCCCATTTCACTTCTAATGAAGTGGGAATTAATCTCCATTTTTGCTAATGGCATTGGAGGAACGAATCAAATGAATTGCTTATTTTATGTTTTAAGCAACCTATTCCTAGTGATGCATATTGTATTCCTAGAGTTTTCAAATCCCTTCATTCATAATTATATTGTTATTCTCATACTTGTTAAGAAGTATTTATATTGTATTACACAGTTTTGTCTGTTGTAAAACAGACATCATATAAAAATATTTACGTATAATCTCTCTATGTCTGCATTTTCTATTTCTGTGTATTTATATTCTCTTATTATATTTACTGAGTCTGTCTTTTCACTTTTTTCCTTTATTATGATGCACATTTTTTAGTATCATATATGTAGACTAAAAAGAAAAAAGCAGAATTAAGGCCATGCATTCTTTTTTAGTGTATCTGGTGACATTTTCTAATAATTTTATTATGTAATATAATACATTTATCTGTTATTATAAATGCTGTATAGTATTTTTATCCAGTAGCTTTTTATTTTTCAATCATTAAGAACTCATTTTTAATTATTTTGCATTAAAATGGGGAAAAGTGAGCTGTAAAATATATCCATCAAAAAATATTGAGATTTCTTTTGTAGAGCTATGTATTTTTTTTTTACATATTCCATTACATGGATATATACGTATTTATCTGGCTTTACACAGTCCAACATTACATTAAAAAATAGACATTTTAATTTTACAATCTTGAACTCCAGAGGCTTTATTATGTAACAAAAAATTGTGGCATTATAAAGCAATCAATTAATAGACTATTATCTGGTGTCTATGAAAAGATTACTAACAGCATAAGTAAACTATCATCTTTCCAGTAATATCATTCTCCTCTGGAAACACCTGGTGCAAAAATATAATTACCATTAATGAATCTCAGGGAATATGCTAAATTTAAATTGAAGTAATCAAATTTTCTTGCTCAGTTGATAATATGTACTAGTCAAGCATCAAGTATGTAAAAATTTTGTTTTTCAAAATTGCAATAACCTCAAATATACACAAGAGCATAAGCAGAGTAATACATGCACATTTTTTTGTTTTGGTTTTGGAGCTTACATTTTTGCTATTTTATTGACTTAGTGGCAGAGGATATTCAGATGATAATATTGAAAATTTTTAAATAACTAAAAGCTATTTTAGTACCTTAATTCCTATCCAAAAAATTTAGTAGTCAGCAATGTACCTTGAGCACAAAATCAATAATGAACTAGCACACCAAGTAATATTTATGTATATTCACAATACATAATTCCATTAACATTTGTTTCAAGGATATTTTAAGTAACATTGATTTTGTTTCTTATTGAATCACATTATCAAGTTTACCAAAATAAAGATATTGCACATTTCAGCTGATAAGAACAGTAGTCAAATAATTATATGATGACAGTATTTAGGCTCATTTATAAATGAGGTATTAATGTTCACCTTCAACTGTGTTGGATGGGTCAAGAATAATGAAAACTGAGACTTTGCCATCAGTCTAAGAGTAGTGGATGTTACTGATGACCTTCCTAAGAGAGTATCAGTGGAGTGCTGCAAGTGCCAGCTTCATTCGTATTGGTAGAAAAAAAGATTAAGAGAAAAGATAGAGGAAATGAGCTTAGATGGCACCTCGAAGATTTTTGTACTGTGGTTTTGGTTGTTGCTTTTTGTTTGCAAAGGGAAGGAGAAAAAAAATACAGTAAAGAAAGGTGAAGACTGTTCATGAGTTTATTTATTTTTAAAATTGAAAAAAAAACTTCTTATTGAATATGTGAAAGCTTCCAATAGAATGAAGAAAATGATGATACAAGAGAGGAACTGAAAAATTGTCAACATGCTTGAGTTACTTAAGGAGGATACAATTTTTATATACAAATGGCATTAAATACTCTTGTAGAAATATAGAGAAACATGGAGAAAATAGTAACAGGAGAAAAGTCAAAGTATGGGCTTAGGTGCAGGTGGGCAGATGCTGTGAATGGAGCACGCAGAGGTCATCTCCTTGTTTTATTTCTAAGGGAAATGGAGAGCAATGTCAAAGTGGAAGCTCAGAATGTGCAACAGCTTGGTGGAAATTAAAGGAAAAAAGAAAATCCCTTAAACATATCCAGAAGAGTGGGATAATAAAAAGAAGTAGGGTAGTAAAGGGAAGTAGGGCAGTTAAGGGGCTAGAGACATTTTAGTAAAGCATTAAGGAGCACACTTAGGTCAATTAGTATGAATTTAAATTGGCTCCATTACTATGGCTTTGTATTGTACTCTGGCTGTAATTAGCTATGTGGGTTCAGACATGAAACAACCTGAGACTGGATTTTTGTTTGGTCAGAGTAGCAAAATGAAGTTAAAGGAGACAAGGGAGTGAAGGATATGTGCAAGGTTCTGATAGGCTTCTAGATTCAGGTGTTGCTACATCGAATTAAGTGACCTGGAGCCATAGCATGTGATGTCCAGAGACTGGAGTGAGTAGGATCAAAATTATAGATGCCAAGATATTTCCAGTATTATTTACATGACTACAATTAACAAGAAAATTTTGACAGGAATGGTGTTGAAGAGAGTGGGAGTCGAGCCAATGCTGAAATCTGTTGTAATATCTACATAAAAGGAATAAACTCATATTTCTTCCAAACTACTTTGCTGGTATTAATATTAGCAAGCTCAATTCTCTAAATACTGTGGTAAATGTACTATGCTTTGACGGTACATTACTATACTATTGACTGATTATTTATAGTTCCCTCGTAGTAATGCAGTGAGATAAAAGGGGAAATAATGGTGTTTTTTCCCCTTTTTCTTTGGAGAAACAAGGTCCTTTTTCCTGTTTTTTTTTTTTTTTTTTTTTTTTTTTTAGAACTGAGACATGAGTTTTCCTTGGGATGTTTGAGGACCATTCTGCCATTGACATCCCAGAGTTTAGTTCCTTCTCGACATTCTCGACATCCCAGAGTATAGTTTCTTCACTGGGATTGGTATACAAATGTTAAACAAACAAAAAGCAACAGCTAACAAGCAGCTAATAGGGATTCCTCATGCACTCTCCAGCTGACAGGATTTATTTTTGCCAGCTTTGTAGTTGGAAAAGACGGGTTTCTTCCGGAGGCTTTGCTGCCTGTGCCTATTAAGCAATTCCAGGACTCAGGCCCATCCTTGGGCCAAAGGTTTAAAAAAGAAACAAAAGAAGACAAAATAAATCGCCTCAGTGCTGTACAGGTCTTTCTTGAGGTTTTGAATCCCCTTTCAATCCACGTGCTTTTGTTTATTTTTCAGAGTCCTTGGATAGCTGTTTTTATATATTCTGTCAAGAACTTTCCATTGTAATCTGTGGGAAAACTAGAATTGAATAGGTCCATCTTTAACAGCACTAGCGTTCCAAGGTTGCACTATTTAATTGATAAAAATGAACTTATGTTCAAAGGAAAAAATAACCACAACCAATAGTAGAAGGGCAATTGAGTTTTCTTCGAGAAAAAATTTGCTGATAAAATGAAAATTTATCATATAGATAGCATATCTATTATAGATAGCATATTAAAGAATTAAAATTTGTTTTTGGCCTATAATTTCAGGTTAAATTATAAATATATATTTTCATTATTGTGAGTTATTAAAAATAATATGTATAATCTCTGACATTTAGATAATCTAAAAGTTGTTTTTGTTAGTTTTGTGTAATTAGTTGTATGCAAGAATGGAATACTTTTTTCTGAAATATATTTTATTAGATAGTAAATGCATGTTCTCTTTTGCTCATTATAATACTTTATAAGATTAAAAACTAAGGTAAAATAAAATTGAAGTAGCTCATAATCATTCCTATGGAATAAATAATAAAACACTCATGAGAAAAAAATTACCATGTGCCAAGTAAAATTCTATGACAGCCTCAGTAGGAAAGAAAGGAACATCATACTCTTTATGAAATAAAATTTCTTCTTATGTGATGTCCTGAAATTTATTTGTTTTGGCACCTAATAATGTTGTAATCTATTTCTTGACTGAAATATGGTAGCCATCTAATTTAAGTAAAAACTGCCAACACTGAACATTGAGCATTTAGTTTCTACTTGAAACCATGCCAGATAATGTGTATGTGGTGTGTGTGTGTATCCGCACATACAAAAAGAGAATCATTTGATATTGTATCAGAAATGTCCAAGTGTGCAAGCCAAAGATAAACAGTACAGTGACAAAATTTCTGTATCATTCAATGTCATATGCCTTGGCTGCAGCATCCCATTAAAAGGCATATAAATTATTGTCCAGTTTTACATCAATGGTTGGAAATAAATTACTTGCACATCTCTTGTGGATTAAGTTATCTCTATGCCTACATATAAATCATGCTGAAAGAAACCAAATTACCCCCAAATGCACATAGACCCATATTCTTCATTCATAATAACACACATTTCATCTACAGACATTTAATAGTGTAGTGCAGTTAATATGTTTTAAAGATGACCCTATAACACTCAGGATTATTAACTACAACAAATCTGAACAGCAATTCAAGGTTGCTAGTTTCTTGTCAGTATAGTAGATCATTTTAATTCAAGATATACCTGATACATTTCAGCTGCTCCCTGCTTTTGAAAGCCATTTCCTCTACTCCCTCCTTTCAGGACCAATAAAAGAAAAAGAGTCAGACTGTTCGGGTAACTTTAAATTAGTTACTCCAACTCTAGAGTGTTTAAATCTATCCTGGTTTAAATATATTTTCAGCTGCTTAAAACTTATCTTCTACTACATGTTCCAACTTTAAAACTCACAGAGTTAGTTTTGGGAAGGCATTATAGGATTTTTTTTTTAAAGTAACTCAGCCGTGATTTTGCAACTGAATTTCGATCAGAACTGCCATAATTGAACTAAATATTGCAGAGAAAGTATTAAACAAATACAAAAATTTTGAAAATGATGCATTCATTTTAAGTTACATCAAAGACAAATAAATTAAATGTTTCCAAATATATTTGCATTTGTCAAAATTGGAATAAAAAAGCTATGGAAATAGCATTTATAGAACTGCTTAAATAATAACGCTAATAAAGATAAATAGAAATAATAATAAAAATAAAAATATGACCTTAATTGAGTAAAGGCTACTATTACCAGTAGAAGTTTTGGTGAAGAGAAGACATACTGCAATCCAAACATATTCCACCCTATACATAATGGTGATTTTTGCAAATCACATGCAATCAGAAGAATTCATTACATCATAAGAAAAAGAATTGAAATGTTAATTTTGACTCATACACACTATAAAACTCATCCAATACTAACGTTACTAAAAATTCAATTACTACAGAGAATCACCAGATAGAGGCAAAACATTCTTTTCTTAGAGAAGTCCAAGCATCTCTGATGCTCATATTTCCCATATTTCCCACCAAAAAAAAAATGTAGCCTTTTGCTCCAGAATTATGGTCCATTATTGTTTTGGATTAAGGCAAACAGTTTTGAGCAGAAATAATACTAAAATCAATTTAAAATTTAATATATTTTTTACTTTCTGCTAAGAGATCAAGTTGGGGATCATTATCATGTTTAGAAGTAGATTTTTGGGGGTCATTCATTACATCATACAGAGGTTCCCAATAGAGGTGAATAGGCTACAGCTTGTGTTTAACTCTTTATTTCCCAGTTTTGATACAATATTAGTATGACAACTACAATCTACATGTGGATTTGGTTAGGACAAAAGCACAGGAAAAGTGGTGGGTTCAATAAAGTAGAATAGAGGTAATAAAACAAATGGTTATTCTCCAATAAAAGCAGTGGAAAGGGGAAATTTAAAGTATATATTCTATTATTTATATCAGTGTTACACTAAATATGTAATAATGCATTACAAATAGGAAGGATGCAACTATGAAAATCTGGTCATGTTCAAAAATGCATACACATACTTATGTGACAAGTAAGGCATATGTATTTTAGGTGACAACTTTCTTCCTCATAAATGTCCACATTTATCTTCTTAAGAAGATCTTACTTCAATAAAGAAAGAGTTTACCAAAAAAATCATAGAAGAAAATACTGTATTGAAGATGGGAAATTGTAAACAAAAACACAGAATTTTCTATGCTTAATATGCATCTCATAATACAAATAAGTGGCAATTTCAAAGACATAGAGTTAGGTTGGTGTGGAAAACTTCAGATTATTAAAAACCACAATGCAAATAGAATAAAGGAAATGATAATTTCCATAAGAACAGATTGCTAAATGCTTTATATTAATTATTGAGATGTTAATACAGATTCTGTAATGTTTGGATAATATACGCATTGGGAATTCATTATTTACTTGTTATTTATTGTCTTACATATGCTAGCTACAGAAATTATACAAACCTTCAAAATTTGGCTATTTATTCTGGTCATATAGGAGGTTATTTAAATGAATCTTTTTTTATGTGTTTGTGTGTGTGTATACACGTATATAATATAGATATACATGATAGATATACATCTTAACATACATTTTGTCTCTAACTATACACAGTCTGTTTCACAAGTTCAAAGATGTGTCTTTTCACATTTTAACAATTTTGAAAAATTTCCGTATTGTAAAATGCTATTAGAATATACCTACCAGCCATTACAAGGAAGAACAAGTTGTGAGGAAGAATACGACCTTGTTGGATTACTAGACACAATCTGCTCTCAAATGTAAGGAATAATTGTTCATGTTATATAGAGAGATTTTAAAACAATAATGATAATGACTAAAAGTGAGTCTGTTTCCTGTTATCATCATGTACAGGTAATTCTAAACAGTCAGTGATAAAATATTACTTGCTGAAAAAATAGACACTCTGCCAAAAAAAAAACTGCTCTTTAAAGATTTATGGATGTATTTCTAATATTTAAATTATTTTAAAATTTAGTATCTTTTGTAAATCAATTTAATTATGAACGTTATTATCATCAAATTGGAAATGCAGATGAAACTATAATCTCCAGAAACAATACTAATCATTGAGGCTGTAAGAGACAGAAATTATCAGTGTCCAATTGTTGATAATTAAGTAAACCAATGAAATCACAAGTGAAGAACACTAACATTCAAATTCTTATTTTGACATTTAGAAAAAAGTGAGGTTCTTCAAAATAAGTATGAGCTTGCACAAAGAGTAAAAACATGTTACGTTATAGCACTTCTTATTCTTTTTCATTATAAAAATAGCTATTATAAATTCATGTATTTCTCCAATAGCTAACGTGAAAATTTCTTTTGTTGCTTAACAAGCTGTTTATAATAAATGTAACAATAGGTAATTAAATTGTCTCTTGGTCTCACATCTCTCAATTTTACACAGAAAAAAAATAATATAAAGACTGACTATGAGAAGTTTACGGCTTTATGTCTCTAAGACACCTTTGTACATAAAATTAATTTTCGACCAAACAATATATTATAAAGCATGACAACATCATTATTTGTATTGTTGCAGTGGCTTATATAGGCAAACTTCGTAAAAAAAATTATTGTGTATCTTCATATAATGACACCTGTGTAATACATAATGCAACACCCTCTATATGAAGAAATACTTTCTTATAATGGGAACAAAACATATATATAACTTCTAAAAGTGAGTCATAAGTTCTCAAAGAATAAATAATATTTCCAAGGGATTAAAATGGTAAAATCTAACAGAGATAATTGAACATTCAAGGGCATTTCCACATATCTTCTGAGCAAAGAAATGCAATCAAACACCACCATTTCCCCAGATCTTAACTCTAGATAAACTCCTTGATGCTAACTTGAGCAATCAGAATAAACAAGTAAACTGAAATGAAATAAAATAAAGAGCGTAACAGTTAATGCTAAGGGTCTCATTTGTTTGTTTTAAATATTCAAATACTATCTTTTATATAAAAAAACCAAAATAAGGAAAAACTCCATAGATAGAAGAAAATAAACCATCAAATCATAAATAATATTTATATATGATTTTTTAAATGTTTATTATATTTGTTTATTTTCATTGATACATATTAGATGTTCATATTTTGGGGGTACATGTGACAATTTGGTACATTTACATAATCAAATCAGGGTAACTGGGATATCCATCACCTTAAATATTTATAATTTCTTTAGGAACATTCAAATTATTCTCTTCTCTATTTTGAAGTCTACAAACAACTATGTTAACTATAGTCACCCCACTAATCCTCAAGTTTTATTTCTTCTGTGTAAGAGTATATATTTACCTATTAATTAACCTTTCTTTATCTATTTCCTCCACTCTTCTCCACCCCTCCTGGCCTCTGGTAACCAGTAATTTCTCTCTTCAGGAGATACACTTCTTAAATCTTCCACATATGAGTAAGAACATGCAATATTTGTCTTCTTGTGCTTGGTTTATTTCACTTACCATAATGACCTCCAGATCCATCCATGTTACTACAGATGATAGGATTTTATTATATGTTATGGCTGAATTATATTCCATTGTGTATATATGCCACATTTTCTTTATCCATTCACTCACTGATGGACACAGATTGAGTCCATATTTTGCCTTTCATGAATAGTGCTGCAAAAACACAGGCACGCAGGTATCTCTTTGATATGTAGATTTCCTTTTTTTGAATATACCCCCGGCAGCAGAAGTGTTCTTTTAAAAATTCAAGGCCCGGCGCGGTGGCTCAAGCCTGTAATCCCAGCACTTTGGGAGGCTGAGGCGGGCGGATCACAAGGTCAGAAGATTAAGACCATCCTGGCTAACATGGTGAAACCCCATTGACACTATATTCTATTGATATCTGGACTTTGGTATTAAAATCTAACAATATGAAATTTTATACCTTGAGCATTCATATTAATTCTCATAAATTAATACCATATACAGACATACCTTATTGAATTTTGCTTCATTTTACTGCACTTCACAGATACTGTGATTTTTATACAAATAAAAGGCTTGTGTCAAGCCTGAATCATACAGGACTATCAGAATTATTTTTCCAACAGCACATGCTCACTTCATGTTTCTGTGTCACATTTTGGTAATTCTCACAATGTTTTAAACTTTTAAAATAATTATTATTATAATTATTATCGTGATCTGTGATCAGTAATCTTTGCTGTTACTTTTGTAATAGTTTTGGGGTGCCACAAATCATGCTCATATAAATGGCCAGCAAACTTGATGCATAAATGCTGTGTGTGTTCTGACTGCTCCCTCAACGGGCCATTTCCCCGTCTCTCTCCCTCTCCTCAGGCCTCCCTTTTCCCTAAGACACAACAATTGAAAGCAGGCCAATTAAGAACTCTTCGCTGGCCTCTAAGTGTTCATATAAAAGAGTCACATGTCTCTCACTTTAAATAAAAAACTAGAAATAATTAAGCTTAGTGAGAAAGGCATGTTGAAAGCTGAGACAGGCCTGAAAGCTGGACCTCTTGTGCCAGTTAGCAAAGTTCTGAATTCAAAATAAAAGTTTTGAAGGAAATTACAAGTGCTACTTCAGTGAACATATGAACGATGAGAAGCCAAAACAGCCTTGTTGATCATATGGAGAAATTTTAGCGGTCTGAAGAGATCAAATCAGCCACCTAATCCAGGGCAATTCCTGACTTCAAGTCTCTGAAGGCTGAGTGAGATGAGGAAGCTGCTGAAGAGAAATTGAGGCTAGTAGAGAGTTGGTTCTTGTCGTTTAACAAACGGAGCTATTTCCAGAACATAACAGTGCAAGGTGAAGCAGCAAGTGCTGGTGTAGCAGCTGCAGCAGATTATCCAGAAGATCTAGCTAAGATAATTTTTGAAGGTGGCTACACCAAACAATACATTTTCAATGTAGTAGAAACAACCTTCTATTGGAAAAAGATACCATCAAGGACTTCCATAGCTAGAGAGGACAAGTCAATTCCTGGCTTCAAAGCTTTAAAAGACAGGTGGGTGTGGTGGCACAGGCCTGTTGTCCCAGAGGGTTGAGGTAGAAACACTGCTTGAGCACAAGTGTTCAAGTCCAGCCTGTGCACCATTGCAAGACCCCATCCATTAAAAAAAAGTATTCAAAGAACAGGCTTCAAAGGACAAATGACTCTTACAAGGGACTAATGCAGCTGGGGAACTTAGGTGGAAGCCAATGCTCATTTATCATTCTGAATAGTCTAGGGTCCTTAAGATTTATCCTAAATTGACTCTGCCTATGCCCTAGAAATGGAACAACAAAGTCTGGATAACAACATATCCAATTACAACATGGCTTATTGAATATTTTAAACTCGCTGTAGAAACCTACTTTACAAGAAAAAAAATTTCTTTTAAATTATTATTGCTCATTGACAATGCACTCAAGAGCTCTGATGAAGAGGTACAATGAGATGAATGTTGTTTTCTTGCCTGCTAACACAACACCTTTCCTGCAGCCCATGGATCAAGGAGTAATTTTGACATTGAAGTCTTATTAGTTAAGAAATATAGTTTGTAAGGCTATAACTGCTATAGATAATGATTCCTCTGATGAATCTGGGAAAGTAAATTGAAAGAAATTAGTGTGACTCACTTTCTTGCAATATTTGCTTTTTTGCAAGTTGTCTGGAAGTGCACCTGCAATATCTTTTAAGCTATCTTCTGTCTATCTATCTATATCAGTCGTTCTAACTAATATATATATATAATATTTATGCATGTGATAGCAGTGTAAATATAAGTAGATTAATTCAACAAACCCTCTCTAGAAGGCTTTAATCTTCTTAGATTCTGTTCTGTTTTCCTAAACACCAAAATTTATCTTCCAAATTCCAGTTCTCTAACAATAAGAAGACATTTTTCACATTTCTTTAGTAACACTTTCAGGAATCTGACAAAATGTAGTACATGATCTAGTAATATCTTCAATATTTTAGTTTTACAGGAATTTGGTTCTTTCGACCCATAGTTTCAGAACATTTTTTTAATGGCATGTGCTAAAGATACATTTCAACCTCTGGTTTTTCTGTATTTACTGAATTATAGTTGAGAAAAATAGGTTAAGAAAAAAAAAGAAAGTATTAAAGTTGGAGTGGGTTGTTGAATCAGGCATATCACAGGCTATCCCAGAACAGGACCAACACTTTAGGAAAGTGGGTGATTTACACTGAAGAAAGTCATAAGTGCTAAATCTGTTACTATTTACCTCAGCTATCTGTCCTCTTTTTAAAAAGGTTTGCTTGAGTGTGAGGCATGCTTATGTTGCCAATGGTTGTTCTCTATCCAGGTTAGTTGGCTTCTTTTTGACTGTGTTTTCCTTTGAATTTAATTTTTTCTTCTCTACATTCATAGATTTTAAAAATAGAAACTGTGATTAATAGAATTGTAATGCTTTAAATTTTTTTCTCTGTGGTGGTGGTGTTAGTAGAGGTGTGTTGCTTGCATGTACGCATGATTTTCTAAAATGAGTTTACAATGATATATGTTACCCATTACTGACTGAGTAGCTATCTTGGTTTGCAGATCAATGGTCCCAGTATCATAGTGCTTTTGTTCATGTAACCTTCATTTTACTTAATAATGGCACCAAAGTGCAAGAGTAGTGATGCTGGAAATGTGACTATGCCAAAGACAACTTGCAAAGTGGTTCCTTTAAGTGAGGAGGTGTAACTTACCGACTTAATATGGAAAGGAAAACAATTACCTACTCATGTTGCTAATATCTACAGTAAGAGTGAATTTTATATCTGTGAAACTGTGAATGTTAAGAATATATTTGTCCTCAAGGTCTCCTATACATGCAGTGGATTTAACGTACCATATGATCCAGCAATCCCATTATTGGATATATATTCAAAGGAAATGAAATCAGTCTGCAAATCCAAGTATGTTACAGCACTATTCACAATAGCCAATATATGGAGTCAACCTGAATGCCCATCTCATGATTAATGAATAAAGGAAACATTATATATATATATATATGGAATATATATATACACATAGTATAATACAATGGATTATAGTTCAACTGTAAAACAGGATAAAATCTTGTAACTTGTGGCAACATGGATGGATGAACCTAGACCACATTATGTTAAGTGAAATAAGCCAGGTACAAAGAGACAAACACTGCATAATCTCACTCACATGTAAAATCTAAAAAAGTCAATTTCATAAAAATAGAGAGTAGAATAGTGATTATAGTGATTACCAGAGGCTGGGGAGTGTAGGGGTGTTGGGGGAACTGAATAAGGTTGACCAATGAATACAATGTTACAGCTAGAAAGGAAGACTAAGCTTTGGTGTTCTATTACACAGGAGGATGACTATAGCAAATAACAATGTATTTTATATTTCAAAACAGCTAGAAGAGATTTTGAATGTTTCTACGAAAGAAATAATAAATTTTTAAAGCAATGGATATGATATGACCTCAATTTCATCATTATACTATGTATATGTGCATTACCACATCACATTGTACCCCATGAATATGTACAATTATTATGTGTTAATTATAAAAACATTAAATATATTTTATTAAAAAAACATAATTAAGAATTAGCATGAACAGGCACTGACCTTTTTGTGGTGACTTTACACGTAGCTATCTGGACCCATACAAGAAGAATAATGAGGTTCACATTAGCATATCCTTATTTTAAAGAATCATCTAATATTAATCATATTTATGTCCTTGAAAGTAAATTATAAAAATAAACTATAAGTTTTAAATATGGATCTTTGTGAATTCCTAACAGAATAAACTAATGTAAATTAATGTAATCAAATAAATTTAGTAAAACTGATGCCTCCAAATACATACTAAAATTTGAAAAAAGTCATAATTTTAGCTTTCAGCCTTTGGATCAGAGAAGGCCAAGGTGCATCCTTATTTGATTGCCCAATATCTAGCTTCATGTGACACCTCCCGCCTCCACAATGTCGCCTAAATTCAACCACAATGAGTTCAAAGTCACATAACTGAAGTACTCTGGTGACAAAGCTGGTGCAGCATCTGCCCTGGCCCCCAAGATCAGCCCCCTGGGTCTACCTTCAGCAAAGATTGGCAATAATATCACCAAGGCAACCCATGACTGGGAGGGTCCGAGGATTACAGTGAAACTGACCATTTAGAACCGACAAGCCCAGATTGAGGGGGTGCTTTTTGCCTCTGGCCTGATCATCGAATCCCTGAAGGAACTGCTAGGAGAAAGAAACAGAACATCAAACATAGTGAAAAGATCACTTTTGATGAGATTGTCAACATTTCCCAACACATGCATTGCTGATCTTTAGCCAGAGAGTCTTCTAAAACCATTAAAGATATTCTCGGTACTACCCAGAATGTGGGCTACACCACTGTTGCTGCCACCTTTATGGTATCATAGATTGCATAAACAGAGGTATGTGCAATGCCAAGGTATGTGCAATGCCCAGATAGTAAGATATAAGGGAAATATCTCAACAAAGGTTCACTTGACAACCAAAATAAAACGAAAATTAATTGTATAATCATAATTTAAAATGGGAAAGAAATCTTAGTTAAAATATATCCAGTAGAGTTTTAATTAAAAATTATAAAGTTCATAATCTCAAGCATTAGTTGGCTTGATTTGCCTTGTATATAACTGTTATCCTCAGACCTTTCCACTCACTGGTTGCTTTGGTGATATTATCACCACCCTTTCTTTGCTAAAGGTAGACAGAGGGGGCTGACCTTGGGGGCTCAAGCAGTTGCTGTACCAAGACCGTATCATTTAGAAACAGATACAGCCTTCTTATGGAAATTTTTACCACATACTCTAATTTTAGTGTCCAGTTTTGTTAGTTTATAATTATATATAAATATTTAAACATAATTGTATTGGTCCGTTCTCACGTTGCTAAAAAAGACACACCTGAGACTCAGTAATTTACAAAGGAAAGAGGTTTGACTCACACCTAGCATGGCTGGAGAGGCCTCAGGAAGCCTACGATCGTGGCAGAAGATAAAGTAAAAACGTCCTTCTTCATGGGGTGGCAGCAAGGAGAAGTGCAGAGTGAAGGGAGGAGGGGAAAATCCTTTGTAAAACCATCAGGTCTTGTGAGAACTCACTCACTATCACAAGAACAGCATGGAGGTAACTGCCCCCATGATTCAATTACCTCCCACCAGGTCCCTCCCACTACACATGAGGATTATGGGAACTATAATTCAAAATGAAATTTGGGTGGGAACACAGCCAAGCCATATCAATAATATTAGTTTATAAGTAAACGTTCCTTATGTGAAGAAAAAAGTTTTACCTGAAAATACTATTATTTTAGATGTCATTGATGCCTTAAAATTTAGATGTGTACAAGCTTATTGTTGTTTATGAATTATAATCTTGTTTCTACCTATTCAGTAAATTTAACAAATCTCTATATTAGTTCAAATATATTTTGACTTCCTCTCATATTTAAGTTATTATTAAGAAATTCAAACAACATTTGAAATTGAATCAATACTGTATCTATAAAACATATTTGAAAAAATCTGAGATTTATATATTTTATATTTTTATATTAACTTATTTCCCATTTCTAAATTTTTTTTTCCTGAGGAAAATGGAATTTGTCACAGTTTCCTTTTAAACCAATGATGTCCTTGCTAGGTTAGGAGGTTCCTTGAAAAATAGTAGTCATTATGTGGTCCATAAAATATACATCTCACTGATGCTCACATATTCGTTCCAAAGACAAGATAAAATGTATCTACTGATAGGTAGGCATGCTGATATTTCTTAAGTTCTGAAGAATAATTGGGATGTCTTCCCAGAATACAAAAATGAGAGAAGGGTGCCACTGACAAAAATAACTATATTCCAGTCAACTGGAGTAATTAGAGCTAGGCAGACAGACAAGGGAAGTAAGGCTCATAGGTAGGCAATGGACTAAATCTTTAATGGAGTTTTAGCAAACATGAGTTTTGGCTTTTGGCTTTGAGAAAGAGCAAAGGAAACTAATGAACTAAGTTAAAACTGAATGTGATGTGATCATAGTTTCATAAAAGCACTGTTTTTCCCACTCTATGGAAAATTTTAAAATGGGTGCACTAAAAACATATGTAAGTCTGTTAGGAAGATTTTTCTTAATGCTCCGAGTGGGAGGTGAAGATAGACCCAACTGGAACAGTATTGGGAGAGATCTCTAATTTTAGGAATCTACAGACCAAGGTAGATTTCTCATAATTACTCTTTAATTCATGTTTTAAGTGCACAAATATTACTGAGTAGCATCTCTCAATTTGACAACAACAGAGTATCAAAATATATTTTTACCAGGTTGTGCAGTGTGGTTCATACCTGCAATCCCAGTGCTGTGGAGGGCTAAGGCTGGAGGATTGCTTCAGGCCAGTAGTTTGAGACTGATCTGCACAACATAGCAAGGCATGTTTATACAACAACAACAGCAACAACAACAGCGACAACAACAAGCCGGGCATAGTGGCACACATCTGTAGTCCTAGCTACTGGGGAAGCTGAAGGAGGAGAATCACTTGAGCCCAGAAGTTCAAGGCTGCAGTGAGCTATGATCACACCACTGCACTACAGTCTGGGTGACGAAGCAAGACACTGTCTTTAAAACAAACAAGCAAACAAAAAAAAAAACCTTAACATTTGAAAGCAAAAGCCAATAGATATGCCTTATAGTACAGTCATGTAAATTACGGCATGTGAGGTAAAATTTGTGACAATAATCTTTTCCTTAAAAGACAAACTGAAAGTTGCAGTGATCTTTATCTCCAGGATTTATACTGGTACTCTGGAAAAATACAGCAAAGAAAATTAATAAATCAGGTATTGTTTAGTAGAATAGTCTTATCTTCCAATGATAAGTAAAAGCTATATAATTATCTCTACTTATGTGTATAATTTTGCCAACTGTTTTAAACATTTGATTTAATCTTTTATTTTAAATGAAATAACTACAAGTTGTTTAGTATTCTAGTGCTGTACACTGGCTACTTTTTTGAAATACTCGAAAAAGCTTTTCACTCTGGAATCAATTTTTAAATTGCCATTAAAATTTTTCCTTTCTTTTCACCTAGTGCCTTATCATGGTGAAAGTGTAGAGAGGGAAGAAGCATATCAAAGACCAAATGACCTTGTTCATAGAATTGGTTTTTCTAATCTCCAAGGTGTAACCCCTTGCTTAAACTCACAACTTTCTTCTTTCTCATATAAACAATTGATTTATTTTTTTCTATAAAACATATCTAAAAACACATATTCAATGATCAAAGCTCCTCACTTTGAAAATATTCTTCGTTTTTATTCCAGGTTATCTAATATTTATGGTGATTTCTTACCTATATTATGTCTACCTTTGGGGAAAATATCAGAATTTATTTGATGAACTAAAAGTTTACTGATGATTGATTATATGAACATTTAGTAAAATTGTGGCATTTTATCAATTTTATGTACTACCTCTAAGCAAGGTATTTATGTTTCTTGAAAATGAAAAAAATCATAATTCTTAAAAGCACCTTCAGCATCGTTGTTGGCTTATATCACATTTAGTAATAATATTAATATTTTTAAAAGCATACTTATAAAGTGTTGTTTTTTAGAATGAATGTCAGACTATATCCATATGCACTCTTTTGTTTGTATGCCATGATATTTTAATTCTTACTACTTTGCTTGTGCCTATGTTTTTTCCATAGACATAACTGGGTACTTCAGAGTCTGATGGAAGGACTCTTTTGTTTGTATTAATGCTTGTATTCCACAGGTAGATGTGATAATATGTGACAATTTTACACTCACCTTTCTTATTAAAAGTACAATACTTTACTATATTTGACCCAATTATTTAATATTACATATTGCTTCCATGTGACAAAAATATTTTGCAACTTTTTATCCTTAACTTCATCAATATCTCATATTACAGAGTATTTTACTCAACTTAAAAAATAATTTTGACTTTTCTTTCTGTTTGTTCTTAATCCTTTTTAAAGTGACGGCCAACTACCCAGCACTTTGGGAGGCTGAGGCGGGTGGATCACGAGGTCGGGAGATCCAGACCATCCTGGCTAACACGGTAAAACCCCGTCTCTACTAAAAGTACAAAAATTAGCCGGGCGTGGTGGCGGGCACCTGTAGTCCCAGCTACTCGGGAGGCTGAGGCAGGAGAATGGCGGAGGCGGAGCTTGCAGTGAGCCGAGATCGCGCCACTGCACTCCAGCCTGGGGGACAGAGCAAGACTCCGTCTCAAAAAAAAAAAAAAAAAAAAAAAAAAAAAAATAGTGAGACACTAATATTTCTTAAAGTACCCACAGGATATCTTTCTGATCTAAGAGGGACTTCTGCAGCTTTAAATGATAAACCTATTGACCGTTTTATCTTTAGAGTGTATTTCTTTGCATCATTTTACTTTCCTCCCTTCTTCCCCCAACAAATACACTGAAAATTATAATTAAGTAAATAATGTTCCTTTCAGAATCATCAAGTAGTGTGATTGAATGTGTAAAGAAAGAGATGTAATCCTATCACAAAATCTTTGCCAGGATCTCCTCCTCTCCAGCTTTCTGTCTTACCATTTTGTTGTCAATTGCAGTGCTCTTTCTGTTGTTTATTTTATTGTTATTCATACCAATCATCACTTTATCATGTACCTTAATTTACTTATTTGTTGTGAATATTGCTTATTTCCTGCCTGTATCAATGTGAGTGTAAGTGTCAAGGGGTTGCAATGCCTTAGTTGCTTTATTCATTTGTCTAGCATACAGATTGTGTTTTATGCTCAATATTTATTGAATTAATAAAAGCATTAGTGCTCCTTAAACCTTCATCAACTATGCCTCTGATGATCAACCCCATAATGTGCCTGTCATACCTATTCACGTATGAATTTAAAAATGAGCAATATTCAGTCTCAAGCTAGGGATCTATTAAACAATACAGAATTAGTTGTAGCTTAACTACCACACACATTAATTGAGTCAATTACAGACCAAACTGAACTAATAAAAATTTTTAAACTCATAGATAAATGCTGATACTTCAAAATAAAATTAGAGAGGAAAATGTTACTGTTATTTATGGAGCTTATATCAAATATGTAAACAAATTTTAAAAGTAATTAAAATTTAACCAAAAACAACAGGGTTTTATGGAGTACTGTGCTGGAGAAAGGGGAGTCCACTAAGAGGGAAGGTTGACACTCAATACCTCTCAGAGAGGGACATGTAATCAGGCAATTAAAATGGCATAGTGTAACCATTTGAGATCACATATGTAAGTAGGGCCAAGTTTATAATCTGTTATAGATCCTGGTAAAAAAAAATGTCGATATTATTCTAAGACTACAAGTAGCATAACCAGCACACTTAGCATCTGTTTTGTTTGTTTGTTTTTTCCACTCAAGAGAACTCTCTATTGAGCTCTTTCTTTGATTTTCCAGTTATAGAATACTAAGTATCTCTCATTCTCTTCAAACATGTGAATCTCAGTTTTACTCTCAGTTTTACCGACTCTCAATTCACGCAAAAAAATAGACATCAAAAGAAAAAAACACTTAAAATATTTCCACCATCCTAGGTTTAACATCTGGGTGACAAAATAATCTATATAGCAAACCCTCATGACACAAGTTTACTTATGTAATAAACCTGCTAAAGTACCCCTGAACTTAAAAATAAAACATAAAAAAAGGAAAAAAAAAGTGTTTCCACCCAAAATTACAAATAAAATGTGAATTTGCAGTTATTCATATAAAATAATATAGTTTACAATATTAACATAATGTTACAATAAATATTATGCCTATCCTTCGTATTTAATACACTCCTGGCCTTGCAGAGTTCTGCACTATGAACTATTTGTCCTCATTTTTCTAAATGTCATTTTTGGAAAAATCACATTATCACCTGTATGCTGAGCTAGTTATCTCAATTTAATCAATGCATCAGTTGTCATTCTCATTACAACCACTTTGAAGACTTTTAAATCAACCAATCATGAAAGCCTAACTCTCTCTTAGAAATCTTTTCAATTTTAGAATCCACGTTAGAACTTCCAATACTGTATTTTGGGACCTATGTATTACAAAGGAAAGCATGTAAATGTAAGTTGAATGAGCCCCATATATAGCTCAAGACTGCTACAATGGATATTTTGCATATTTCCTGAAATATCCATAGCAAATACTATTTTATTAGATGCTCAGGAGGTTCAGCTGAACAAACCACTTTCCATGAGACATTGCTCTTATATCTCTCTTTATCTTCATCTTAGAAGACACTTACCTTTTAAATATATCACACCATGGGGACAAATTGTGAGGGAAATACTTGCTTTTTTCTATTCCAGTTAATCCTGAAGAAACATCCCTCTATGTTTTCTTTGTTGTAAAATTTGAATATTTCTACTACTCTTCTTATATTATTATTCTATAAGGTATTTGCTGAGATACTTCTCACCACGTTTTATTGTGAGATCATGGAATGTGGAAGCTGGGTCTTAACTCATCTCCATATTCAGAGTACCTGTTGAGTGTTTGGTTCATGATGAACAAGTAAACATTGAACAACAGCATTTTAAACACATTATCTGAAATTATATTGCACAGTGTTAAGCCCAGCTTGCTTGGTCCATAATTACCCAGAAGCACTAAAAATGTCTTAATCCTCCAGCTTGTGAAATAATAGCTAATATTTTTGCATGCTTAAGTTTTATTCCATACATGCATCCTAGGAATTTTGTTAATTATATCTAACATGAATTGTGCATTTTATTGAAATACGTCGAATACATGTTGTTCATTTTGTTGAAATATATTAAAGGAATTATTATCAGAATATTCAGATGCCAACCAATCACAATAAAAGTTGTTGAGTTGACCTATTAACAGTTACTCAATCCATGTCTTTGTGGAACTTGTTGAACATCAACACTTCCATAAAGTATACATAATGATATAAAGAAAAAACTTATAGTTAATAGTATTTCTATTTAAATATTTCAGTCTTAATGACATTATATAATTCTACATGATATTGAAAATGGGGAAGTCATGAGTCTTTTCCAAAGTAGTTATACTCCCTTGCTGTCCTTGCTTAATCCAATGCATGCTAATTTTTTTTTTATTGTGGTAAAACACACATAGCATGGAATTTAGCATTTAAACATTTTAAGTGTACAATGCAGTAGTGTTAACTATATGCACATCATGTACAACAGACCTCCCAAAATTTTTCATCTTACAACACTGAGATTCTATAGCCATTGAAGAGTGAGTGCTATTTATTTTTAAAGGAGAACAATGTCATCTCAAAGGCCTGCATAGAAAATTGTTTTCTCCAATATTCAATTATTATGTTAGCAATAGTTATTTTTCATCTGGTACTATTAACCATCCCATATTATAGCAACAGGAATTAAGAACTGTCATTCAACATCAAAATGTGATTTCTTAGGACTTTTACTATTTAATAATTATTATGCTAAATAACTATTAATACTATAAGGTAAATAATAACTAACTATATATAGAAAATAAAAAGAAATTATTGTTAATGACTAGCAAGTAGTTAATAAATGTAATAACACTTTAAATATATTTGCTATAAAGTTTGTAAAATTTGATATTTAATTAAAGATAGATGCCTCTGGATGTCCAACAAGATAGTAAAGTTTTTAAAATTTTTTAAGGTATTCCCATTAAATATATTATTTTTTTTTAAAAAAGAGAATGTTTGCAAAACTGTATAGTCAAAGTGATACTTTTCTGCTAATTTTTATTGATGTCAGAAGAGATTATAGAAGGCATGAGTCCATTTTTAGGGGTAATCAGTGGATGGAATGAGCTCTATCAAGCTTTCATTTTTGGTCCAGGGATCTTGCAGTATAAAAACTGTGAAGAAAATGATGATATTTATAAAATCGTTATGAAATATTTACTGCCTGGAATAGTTTCCCTAAACAGATATATGAATACCAGAAAATATGTTTTGCAGATCCCAAATAACGGGATTGGCTTTCATTAAATGTACTACCAAAAAACAATCTACTTATCTTGTATAAAATAATTTTTAATGTTGAGACCAAAAATAAAAGTAATTATCATAGCTAGGTCAACTGTCATTATTTTTTCTGTGATAAACAATGTATATTCATATATTTCTCCTTATTTCACATACTTACATATTTCCATTTCAGTTAAATTAATTTAATGAGCAAACTAATATACTTTTATGCCCATAAATCAAGACATGAATATAAATGCCTGTAAATTCATACACATAAGTGTTTCTATACATGCAACAATAATGTATATATTATTTTAACATACAAAGTTGCATTAGTGTATATGTATGTGTATATAGTTAATATATATGATTTATATTCATATTATGTATGTTTATGCATATGCCACTATATAGCATCCCATAAATATATACAATTATTATTTGACAATTACCAATAAAATAAAATAAATATTTGTCAAAAAAGATATTCACTGGGTGATGTGTGTGTGTTTGTTATTATTACAACAAGAAAAGTACAGCGTAAATAATAAAGGATACATTGTGATGTCTGATTCCTAACTTTGATACTTCCTGTAGGGCCTTGGAAAAGGTATTATATCTATTTGTTGTTTCCATTTTCTCATCCAAAAAGATGAAGATGATAATAACGGCTTACCATAGTATTTGTTCTGAGAAGTAATTGAGCTATGCCGCATTAGTTCTTAGTAAACTGACTGCCAAATAAAACCTATTTAATACATACGTTTTTACTATTATTTTAGTCTTTTTCATATGTTGAATGTAATCAGTAATATCAATATTTGGCTTACATGATGCTTTAACTAAATAGTGTTTATATAATAAATAAGAATTTTTTGTTGCTTCTCATTAAATGAAACAATAAAACCATCTATTTCTAATTGGTTTACATTTTAAAAACTAAATAATATGTAGACAGTGTTAGAAATATTTATATGTACTAGCATATAATTTCCAAATCCTAATATCTCTTAGCAATATTTTCAAAACCTATACATTTTCTAAAATAGATAAGTATTTCTTTCTTCTAAAATGGCATGTTTACAAAATGTCATAATAGTTATTTATATTAGTATTCTATTAATGTCTTCTGCCATCACATAATTTTAACTATTCAAACTATTTAACTTAAGAACATAGAACTATATTTGTGTGTTTTTAAAATTTCTGCTTCTTTGTCTTAAAATCTATAAGACATAAATGTTTGAACTCTTTATAGGACATTTTATTATCTTCCAGATTTCTAATATATTTTATAATATTACTTGTTTAGCAACTTCAGGGAAATACAAAGGTAGTAATTAAACTTGTCATAAATTTAAGTGCATTGAGATCTTTCTATTGTTACTCCATCACGTAGGTGTATAAATGACAGTAACTTTTCTTACATGTAGTGACCATAAGAATTACAGAACCCTACAAGTTGTAGAATCAATGTGAAATGTTGGAACCAATGTCCCTTTGGGCCTAATTTTCCTTTCTACTTCCCCTTTCCCCTGACTTCATACCTACCCTAGACTATGACATTTACAAGGAACTTGTGAAAAGTGTCCAAATACCACAAACATAACACAAATAATGAGCTATATATACAGAAAGTTTTTACTTGTTTTGCAGGTGTCATGGGACTCTAGAAACATGGTCACATCGAAGTGAATATACTAAACCACTAGTTCATCATGCTGCATTGCACGAAGACAAGCATTTTAAGTCTATTGCTTTTCATCATTTAGATGTGCAGTCATTGTTGGTGGTATTGTCAAGAGATTAGCAAAAATAATTATGAGTGAGATCATTTTAATTTCTTCTTTCTTTCCATTTTCAGCTTTTCTTTGTAAAAATGGGTTAGCTTTGTGAGAAAATTAGTAAGAACCAGTAATGTGGATGCTACTACAGATGTTACCATTTGGCATGAAGGTTGAGGAGAGGCATGGCCACAGGATTGATAATGTGTGGGGTTGCCATAACAAAGTACCACAGACTGTGTAGCTCAGGAGGGCATAAATCCCAGATCAAGTTGTCAGTGGAGGTGGTTCTTTCAGAAGCCTCTATCCTTGGCTTGCAAGATGACCATCTTTTCCATGTGCCTTCACACAGTCTTCCCTCTGCGTGTGTCTACATCCTATTCTCCTCTTCTTATAAGGACCCCAGTCATATTGGAGGAGGGCCCTAACCTAATGACCCCATTTTAGCTTAATTAGCTCTTCAGAGGGATTGGATTTCCACACATGAATTTAGGGGGAGGCGGGTAGACACCTGTGAAAACCAACATTGGCTTATCCTCCTGTATGTAAGGCTGAAGTTAAATTACTCATTGAGCAAAACATTGCTACTTAGAGCAAAAAGATTTGAAAGGGTGCTTCACGACTAACAACCTGTGAGAGTGGGAAAACTAAGACTGAGTTTAGAAAGTCAGAAAGGGAGAAACTTTTAGTTTAATTCCAGGAATAGGAGCAGAAAGTAAAAACCCATTAGGAATTATACTATAAATTAAAAATATAAATACTGCAAGACTGACAGAAGAGTCTAGAGAAGATTACAAATACTTCACATTTTCTGTGAAATTATAACTAATTTTCAATTATTGTAATAAGGTAAATATAATCATAATAAATAAGCTTGAAATTTATATTTCATAACCTATAATTTAAGCTTTCAGAAAGGTTAATAAAGGACTTCTTTCAGAGTAGATAGAAAGTTCAGGATTCAGAGAATCCTTACAGAAGTCAAAAATACCTCAGAGAACAGTGGCTCCGGTGGTCACATAAGAACCAAGAGTACAGGGATAAGTAGCTTACACAATTGTTAGTTTATAAACTCCCCTCTGTTAAAACAAAAATAAGTCATCTGTCATACTTATCTTTAAATCTCCCATTGAGAAACGTGAACACTTATAAGCAATTCTCAATGTGGATAAAACAATTTTTGAACAGCAAAATGCCACAAAAGATTTATGAGACAATGGATTGTTTCTGATCCATCTTTTTATAATCAGTTGAAAATAACTAAAGGATTAAACAATTTAATAGAATGTGAATATCTGTAATGAAAATGGTAATAAATAAGAAAATTCATTGTTATAATATTATGTATATATAACTTAATTAGCATAATAGATGTGTTATACTGTATCACTCTTCTTTTCTAACGCTTTGTTGCAATAGTTTGAAACTGGTAAAAAGTAAGGACTCCAGAACTCTGTTGTCTAAGTTCCGCCCCCCGTCCATCACTTAAGAGCTATAAGAACTCAGTCATGTTACTCAGCCTCTGTGTTTTAGGTGTAAATGGAGGATATATTGGCAATAACTACTTCACAATGTTTTATGAAAATTATCTCTCTGTGATCTCAACACATTCTGCTCAAAGAAAAACTTGTTCATGTCCAAATTTAGCTATTTCCTCCAAGAATGTTCTTCTGGACCTAAAGTGTGACCTCCAAAGCTCAGTTAAGTGTACTCCTCTCTGTGGTCATCACAATATCATTTATCTTATAAGGCATTTATCAGATTAAATTGCAATTCCCTAGCAAACTGAGAGGTTGAGGAAAGCAAGTATTGTGGCTATGTGGAATAGTTTTCTATCTCCAGTGATTTGCACTGTCTGACACATGATAGGCAATCAATAAATATGTGCTGAATAATGTAATGAGTTTTTAAAATACATCTTTAAAGAATAACCTGGGAGCCTGAAGGAAACAATTCATTTTCCAGAATCAAATGATATATATATATGTATAAAGTATCTGAGGAGCAAGTTTTATTATTGTCTTTCCCTCAAGCTGGAGATATTAATAGCTATTTTATTATTCTACTAAAGAGAAAACTTCTTGGTCAGAGAAAATAATATCATTACAGAATTTGGTTTACTGACCGTGACTTGAAGATAAATAATGGAAGGGCGTTAACTAATTCAAATACAAATGCATTGTAAAGAAATATACCTGTAATTATATTCTAGAGATGCAATTGTCATTTATATTTATATGTAAATGGATAAGTAGGTTTAAAATAGAACTCTTGATTTTTGCCAATGTTGGTAACTATTGCAAATATTAAAAAAAAAAAAAGAAACCTGTCATTTAACTAGAATGTAACAAATACAGCCCCATGAATCAGAAACCTAGCCTACCACTTTGTTGCTAGTAGATACTGATCATGATTACCTCAGTGGCTTTTAAAATATTTTAATAGAGGCAATCATTTTTAAAAGACAATTTTTGTATATTTTGGAGCAGTTTTAGAGTCAAAGCAAAACTGAGCAGAAAGTATGGAGAGTTCTCATACACGTACTGCCCCCGTCACGCATGGATAGCCTCCCTGGATAGCAACATCTCTCACCAGAGTGGTACATTTGTTATAATCAACGAAGCTACGGTTGACATATCAGTATTATCCAAAGTTCATAGTTTACATGAGGATTCACTGTTGGTGTACATTCTCTGATTTTTTTTAACAAACGTGATAATATGTATCTACCATTAAACAGAATATTTTCTGTATGACTGCCCTAAAAATCCCCTGTGTTCAGCCTATTCATCTCTTCCTCCTGCAAACTCCTGGGAACTACATAATTTTTTACTGTGTGCATATTTTTGCACTTGACTGAGAGTCTTGCGTTTTTAACAGAGTTGAAATTTTTAATTTCAATGAAATTTGGCTTAACAATTATTATTATTTTTTTTTCGATACAGGGCCTCACTCTGTCGCCCAGACTTAAGTGCAGTGGCGTGATCTCCACTCACTGCAACCTCTGTCTCCTGGGTTCGAACCTCAAACTCCTGCATAGCTGGGATCACAGGCATGTGCCACCATGTCCAGCTAAATTTTGTATTTTATTAGAGATAGAGTTTATTAGAGACAGAGTTGTTGGACAGGCTGGTCTCAAACTCTGACCTCAAGTGATCCACCGCCTCAGCCTCCTAAAGTGCTGTGATTACAGACAAGAGCCACTGCACCTGGCCCTATTTCTTTCTTTTTAATTTTTTTTAATTTTAATTTTTGTGGGTAAATAATAGGTGTATATATTTATGGGATACATGAGATGTTTTGACACAGGCATGAAATGTGAAATAAACACAGCATGAAGAATGGAGTGTCCTTCCCCTTAAGCATTTATCCATTGAGCTACAAACAATCCAATTACAATCTTTATTTTAAAATGTACAGTTACTATTGACTATAATCATCCTGTTGTGCTATCAAATAATAGGTCTTATTTATTATTCCTATTTTTTGCACCTATTAATCATCCCCACCTCCCCTCACTCTCAGCCTTGTGTGACCAAATAACCCAAATATGTCATTTTGGACTTTAGGGAACCTAATATCCTGCTAAATCTTAAACACTGACAGCAATTAAGGTCTCGTCCTCAGGCACAGTAGAAGATGCCAATCAAAAGAAACTGCATTCCTGAGACAGGGGGCCAGCAATGAAAGCTATTCAACTCAAGGCTCAGGCACTATGGCAGAAGAGGTGGGCATGTGAGATTGTAAGAGCCGATATTGAGAGATAAAATAAGTTCAGTTTCTCTATAAATTAATCATTAATGTCAAAGGCATGCTTATATCAGACCAGCGTATGGGCCCCTTTGTCAGATTAACAAGACTTTCTTGAAGAATTAGCTAAATCCTTAATAGAGGTTATAAAGGTTATAAAAGGCTTATGGAAGTTTTATCTTATGGTAGAAATTAAAATTTATAGATTCTTTACAATTTCATTGGCTTCAGGCTGTTTTTGTTAAGGCTTATTGTTTGGAAAATTAAGTCTCCTCTCAAAGAATAAAGGTTTTTGCCTTTTTTTAAAAAAAAATCCTTGAGTTATCACTTTGGTTAAATGAATGACTTATTTTACAATGACCTGGGATCCTATTTTGTGATATCAAGTGTTTTAAACCTTTGATATTTGATAAACTTTCCAAAATCAAATTATAAATTATGTCTTTTTCTGAACTAATTAATTCTTTAAGATATTAGGTTCCCTAAACTCCAAAAATGATATATTTAATTTATTTTATATAAAAATTATACAGGAAGCATTGTCAAATAGGAAATTTTCTTTGTTTTTTGGAGGGCTGTATTTGTATAAATATGTTATTGGTATGTGTTTCAAAATTATGGAAAACTCCTGTAATTCTGATATGCCTTAGTGTACATTATCAGTAATAATTATGATTGCTATGTTAAATTATTGTGTGCCACAGATGTGAAAAATTTCCTTTTCAATGTGTCTTTCACTATGGCTGCCCTAAAACTTTTTGACATTCATGTACAATTGTATTGTTTTGGTCCTCTTCAGAAGGTGGTTTTATAATCACTTGTGAAACTCTGACAGGTGTTCTTGAATGCAGGTTTCTGATAACTTTGGAGATTGTGGCATCAGAATAGAGAAAATACTTTCAGGTGTCATGGGAGCTGAAATGTTCATTGATAAATGTTTCCTAGTGCCATATTGTGATAATTTCCTTTACTGATCTGCTTTCTGACACTATAGCTTACATTTTCAGTATTATTTTTATTTTATTTTATTTTATTTTATTTTATTTTATTTTATTTTATTTTATTTTAGTCAGAGAGTCTCACTGTGTCACCCAGGCTGGAGTGCAGTGGGTGATCTTGTCACTGCAACCTCCACCTCCCTGGTTCAAATGATTCTCCTGCCTCAGCCTCCTGAGTAGCTGGGAATACAGTCACAAGCCACCACACCTGGCTAATTTTTGTATTATTAGTAGAGACAGGGTTTCGCCATGTTGGCTAGGGTGGTCTCGAAACTCTGGACCTCAGATCATCCACCAGCCTCAGCCTCCCAAAGTGCTGGGATTACAGGTGTAAGCCACTATGCCTGGCCCCCCTTTTTAATATAAATTTATATAAATGATATTCTACAGTATTAATCTTTTTTTGTCCAGCTTCTGTCACCTATCATAAATATTTTCCAAATCATACATGTTGTTGCTGTGTAGTATTTCATTTTATGAATATATATTTGTTTCTTCATTAGCCTGTTTATTGTCATTTTGGCTTTATTTCCAGTTGTTACTATTAAAAAGATATGTTAATATTCATGTGCAGGTCATTGTAGTTGCATTTATTTCTCTAATAGGAGTGGAAAGACTAGGATATATTATAGGTAGGTGGTACAGATTGTTAAAAAAAACTGTCAAAATGTTTTAAAAGTCTTTGGAATATTTTATATTTCCATCAGCTGTATATGAAAGTTCCAATTCCTCAACATTCTCACTAATGCCTGATATGGTATTCAAATCATTTATTTATGTTAATTTTGCCTCATGTAATCTTATTGAACTCAGTTATTAGTTGGAGAAACTTTTTTATAGATTCCATTGCATTTCTGTGTATTAGACAATTAGATATTTCTATGTATTAGATAATTTCTCTGTATTAGATAATGTCAGTTCCATATAAAGATTCTTATTACTTCCTTCGCAATCTGAAGGCAATTTAGTTTTTTTCTTCCCCTATTGAATTGGCTAAAACTCAGTACAACATTAAACAGAAGTAGCAAAGAGAGATGTCATTGTCATACTCTTTAACTTTAAGGAAAAACATTCTCTTTCATCAATTAAGTAAGCTATTAACCTTAAGATTTTTGTATATTTCTTTTTATAGGGAGGTTACATTCCTTTTATACACAGCTTGTTCAACTCTCTTTTCTTTTTAGCTTGTTGATATGATGAGTTATATAGATTGATTTCAAATGTTAAAGCAAGCTTACATTACTGGAATAAATACCAAATATTCATTAAAAAATTTCAGTTTTTTGTTGGATTTTATTTGCTAAAATTTCATTTAAAATATTTACATATACACTCATGAGATAGATACTTTTTTGAAAATGGTGTCTTTGGTTTTCTTATAAGCATAATTTTGATTTCGTAGTAAGAACACCCAAAATCCATCGTTTTAATATTCTGATGGAGTTTGCACAGAATTGTTTTGTCTTTTATGTAGAAATTCAATTTTTAATAGACATAAAGCCACCTTACCTAATCTTAATTCTATGAATGTAATTAGTTTGTATCTTTAAATAAATTTAATATTTTTTTATTTTGTCTAAATGATAAAATGTATTTCCATAAATGTTTCCCAATATTTCTTCAACATCCTTTTAATATCTGGGGAAGTCTAGTGATACAAAATTTTATTTCTGCTAAGTTATTTATTCCTAATAAATTTAAACAGAAAATTATAACTTTTTAGATTTTTTTGAGGAAGTAACTTTTGGTTTTAACAACTTTTCTTTATTGATTTCTGCTTTCTAGTTCATTGATTTCTGTTCATAGCTTTACTAACTTTGGAAGACTATCTCTTTTTTGTTTCTCTATTGCTCATGAGAATTACTTTCTCCTAGTTTCTTAAACTGGATGCTGATGTCATTTATTTTCGATCTTCTTTAATTCTTATACAGAAACTTAGGATACAAATTACTGCTTCAGCTGCATCCCACAGTTTTTAATGTTGTGTTTTCATTTTTTATTCAGTTCAATATGCTATTTAAACTTCCCCTTGATTTCTTTATTTTATATATGTGTTATTTGGATATGTTATTTGGTTTCCAAATATTTGAAAATGTTCCATTGTTTCTGTTATCTATTTCCATTTAATTCTATTGTAAATTTGAATATTTAAAAATGTAAGACATATTGTATGTACGAGATATGATATGGCCTATGATGGTAAGTTCTATGGGAACTTTACACTATTCTGCTATTGCTGTGTGGAAGGATATAAATATAAATCAGGTCAATTTGGTTTTTAGTGTTGTTCAAGCCTTTTATATCTTTATTGATTTTCTGTCTACTTGTTCTGTCAATTAATAAAATAGTAGTGTCAAAAACTAAAAGGCATTTATGGATACACCTAATTTCGGTACTCTCTGCTTTTGCTTACTTTAGGCAATCCTTACTTTGCACATTTCCTGAAGGTTCAAATCATGATTTAGTTAAATAATGCCAGTCACTTGACAACTAAGATTTAGATTAGTTTTTTCATATGCCATTGTATCCTGCTGTGTTAAATTTTTTTGCCAGCTCTGAATTATTTATAGCTATTATTTCTTCACAAATTTTTTATTCTCTTCATTCTCTTCTTCTGACATTCTGACCAGATGTATAAATATTTTATCGTTCTCAGTATGTTTTCTGTCTTTCAAAATAGCCATCTCCATTTCTTCATTCATCCATAATTTCTTAATCCCTCCCTTTGAGTGCATAATTATTTTTTTCAAGACATACTTTACCTGCTGTTAAAACATTTATTATGTCTCTCTTTAGTTTCAGTAAGTATATATTTTTTTCTCCAAACTTTATCATTACTGTTTTATCTCTTGAGAGTTTTTTATTTGTTTGTTAGATTGCATCATTATTTTTAAAAATATTTCACACATACACTTTACTTCTTAAAACTAAACGCCTGTAGTTTGGAGTCTAAATCTGTTTTGTGCTGTGTCGTTAACTCTCTCTAATGTCGATGTATCTTCTTACAGTGTGTTTTTGAGCATGTTACTTTCTGTTTTAATGCAGTAGATTTAGTCCTTCACTACAGAAGATTTACTCTGGAAAAGAGTTGCTTCGAAATGTGTCAGTAGCTAGCAAATGCCACCAATCTAGGGCCTTCTCATTTAAAACCTAGCCTGGAATATCAAGCTGGGCTGAAATTTTACTATATAAATAAATAATCCAGTATTTAATGATAGTGTTGCAAAATTCTATCATCTGAACAATACAGATACTTAAAGTAGATGAAATTTAATTTTACATCTTTTCACAGTTTTTTCGTATCCTTTTTTTTTTAGAGTATTTTCCAGTATTTTATGACAAAAGAAAAGCCTCAAAGATGTGTCATATCCAAAATCTAGATTTATTCTTTTAGTCAGGTTGACCCTTAGAGCATTTATCTTCCATAATGATAGAGGAAAAAACCCTCATTGATATATCTCAAGTCAATTATTGGCTACCTTATTATTCAATTTTTATTAACTACAAGGAATAATAACTAGGAAGAGTATGTTGTCATGTAAAAACATTTTTATAATGCAAAAATAGGGATATGTTTGTTAATTTATGTTATGTATCTATTCCATAACATTACTTTTTAAAATTTGTTCTGAACATAAATTTATTAACTTTCAGTTTGGAAGTGGATCACATTAAAACCCCCTACCATATTGTATAAAGAACTTCCGCATAGTTCTTGTGACTTAGATATTTTAAATCATTTTAATTGACACATTATAGTCATCATTAAGGTGTAAAAAAGCACTTGTTAACTCAGTTTTAAGTATCCACAAAATATCATTGTGTCAAGACTTACAATTGTCTTTTGTATTCAATGTCATCTTTCTCAATTAAAATTATATAACTTTTGTTGTTCAGGTTTATCATTGTTTCTAATTATGCTGGACATTGTATTTTTATACTTAGATTACAATTTATATTATAAATCTGAAAAATACCTTTGTTAGAAAACAGATATGTTGTTTCCATTTTATGAAGTACAATTATTGACCCTACAGAGCTTTGAAAATTTAATTACACTAACTTACACATAAGTTTATCTTTCTCAGAAAATAGGGAAAAGTTTTATGGTACAGGTGTTTCTTTTCTTTTTCTGTAACCTAAAGAACCAAAAACAGAAACATATCTTCATTGATTACAATCAGTATTTTATGAAGCACCACTCTAATTATCTTAGTATGCTAAGCTTATTATCACTTCTCGGCCTTTTGGCTAAGATCAAGTGTGTGCTAAGCTTATTATCTTCTTGAAACACAGACGATGTTAAAATTGGAGTCAGGGATATTTTTCATTGTTATTGATTTTGAGATGGCATAAAACTGGTTGAAATCCTTTATTTCAGTGATTCTAACTCAGTGGTTTTTAAACTGAATGTACATATGAATCAAAAGTTGTGCTTAGCAAAGGGGCAGATCCCAAAATACCACGATCACAAAACCTTTATTCAATGACTGGGTGGAGGTATGGAATGTATATTTTTAAATGGGAGATTATTATAAAGATAATCTTTCAGATAACTAGTTACTCATTTCTAGTTTGTCAATATCCTTTTAGTTTAACAATCAGCACTAGAAATACTCTACTTTAGATATTGTGTTAGAATTTTTTTATACAGTGTAAATCATGCAAGGTAGATGTTTTATCCTTATGAAGAAACATATTTATTTTTGGAGAGATAGAAATTTCTGAACAGCAATGCAGATATTAACTGAGATTACAGAGAAAAGGTGTCTCTAGAATTTCCTTTCTTCTGATCAGGGTTATACATTCAATGTTACAATATACATATAACTCTTCTTTTTTTGATGCAAGGATGAAAGTATTAGAAGTAATCACATGCCTAACATTACCCAATAAGTAAATTTTAATATGGGGGATTTAAATATTAATTTATTGAATACCTTAAATATAAGGATTTTTTTCTCTCTAATATCCAAGTATTTGTTAACAAAGTTTACATTCGCAAGGAAGATTACTGTGGTAAGGCCACTCTATGTCCTGTTCTTAAACATTCAAGTAGAAAATTTTTTGATACACGTTTCTTTATCACAGAATTCTCTTCAGAATCAGAGAAAGTATAATGATTTTTCATGTGGAATATACGATTTTTGTTTCCATTTGCTTGTTGGCTAATACTGTTTGATTAAAACAGTACTTTACCTGGGACATAACAGAGCTCATCCTACCAAATCTTTGTGAAGGCAAAAGTCCTAAGCTTTGAGGCGAACTAATAACTATATCTGGTTATTACTAATAGTTAGACATAAAAGGAAGTCAACCATCTTCAGCAGATGTCGGTATGTATAAACATCTTCAAAGGACATCTTTATCATATTATTATAATATGCTATATGTTAGAAGCTCAATTAAATCAGATCTCTATGAAAATCCCTAATATTTTTGAACAGATAAAATATGGATTAGGGATCTCAGACATTGAAAGCAACCTACTAGTAGGCAACTTATTTCTATCTCTTAGATTCTACAAATTAATCAGTTTTATATACAGTTACAGTTTGAAAATGTGGGCACAAAGCACATGACAATTACTAATTCCCCTCTCACAGTCTGCCCATAAACATCTATGTCTCCATTGTTTTAAGGCCTTGACCAAGAATTACCAGTAAGGCACCTCAAGACCAAGATAGACTGTAGGGTTGGAGCAGAATATTCCCAAAGTTGACAGGTATGTAAATACACCCCAAGAGAAAATGAAAAATCACCATACATGTTCATTATTTTAAAATACCATTTGCTTTAATATAGCCTGGAAACCATGCCAATTAAAGGATGATTCTGATCCAATAATTCTTTGATGGATTTAGGAATTTGCATTTTTAAACAGTATTTAAATCCAGGTGGCCCTAACATTGGTTAAAAAAAAAAAAATGAACCTTGTTTTTAAATTTGGATACATATTGGACTCATCTGAGGTAAATAAAAAATGCAAATGCTAAACCTACTCTCAAAAATCTAACTTCATTATTCTGTTGGAGGATTATGCTACAGTATATTTTAAATATGCTAAAGCATATTTAAAAGCATATTTAGAGAAGCCGAAAGTGCAGACTGTTTGGAGAATTTGATACTTTCTTAACCAGCAAATGCTGCATCTACCCTTGTTTCATAGCTCTCTGATAGCAGTTACAAGCCTTACAGATTTCTGCTGTTATCTCATTTTCTTTGAAAAACATGCTTATAAATCACACACACTGACGTGTAAAGGTACTATGAAATAAATCAGGAAAATTGGGTTGTAATCAGAGTTCTGCACTTTGTAGAAGTCAGCCTTTCAGTGTCTCATTTTCTTCATATGTAAAAAAAAAATTAGCAGTGGGATGAAATGGTTCCTGTGATGCTTGGAAAAAATATATCTGTAATGAAAGGCCATTAAACCAATTGAGTTATCTTTTATCCTTGAAATATATCATTATCTCATTATTATATTAAATGTATAGACAGTGCCAAATGACTATTGTTAAAAATCAAAATACACCTGTGTCATTCAAGAAAGTAAATTTTAACAAACACTTTAAATATGCTTCCCTGCAGTCTCGATACCCACATTAATCTTTTTGTAAAAGAAGCTGGCTCATATGCTTTATGCAGTTTCCTAAAGTGGATGAATGCTAAAGGATAAATAAAGCTAGAAATTACAAAAGGTAATATTACAAATCTAGGAACAGAAAAAAGCTTAAAGAAATTTACAAGGAAGGACTGGTTTAAATAAGTTAATAACTTGGAATACTTCTATAATGTAAAATACCTTCCTTTATATCATCCAAATTTCCAGATGTGTCATGATAAATAATTATACTACAGCAGTATGATTGTTATTATAAGTACACCATTTATTCAACCAAATCATCAGGCAAATCTTTCATAAAGTAATTAAGTGCTGTTTTTGATTATTTCTCTTTGAAAGGTAAGGAATGGTGAAAACATATGAACACATTTGAAGAGAGCAAAAGAATACCTCTTCAGAAGAGAACAGTGTTTCCGATTGTTATATTTAGATATAATAAGAAACAGAAGCAATAGAGCAAATTAGACTCCAGCCCACGCTACTGGTGGAACAAACAAGTCAGGAGGGAGCTGGGATGCTAGCAGAAAAAGCAGGCTAGAAAACTTCATTAGGAAAGGAGGAGCATTAACCTATTCCTTGATTTTCTTTTTAAAGTTTCTGGAATGGAACAGATAGAACCATTGTGTTTACCGTAATCGCAGAAGTACTTTACCTGGGACAAAACACAGCTCATCCTACCAAATCTTTGTGAAGGCAAAAGTCCTAAGCTTTGAGGAGAACTAATAACTATGTCTTCTTATTATTAATGGTTAGACATAAAAGAAAGTCGACCATCTTCAGCAGATGTGGTGTTAACTGAAGAAATCGGTCAACTTACACTAGCAAAGTGAGACATGTGTTTAATAGTTGTCTGCATTTTCTATTGTGTAATGGGGTAGAGAACTATGGTTTTATTCATGTTAAAGAGAAAAAAATAAAGTTATATCTGTGGAGTATTTTTCTCCCTCCCCCCCTCCCTTCCCCTCCCCTCCCTTCCCCTCCCCTCTCCCCTTCCCCCTCCCCTCCCCTCCCCTCCCCTCTCCTCTCCTCTCTTTTCTTTTCTCTTTTCATAAAGCTACATTTTGGCCTGATTTCCCATGACCCTAGGCTTCTCTGACTCATGCAGTTTCTATCCTCCATGTGTTAGAACTTCCCCTGAAATTACTTATACATACATGCTAACAAAATACCCTTCATAACAATCAACTGAATGAAAAGAAGTGTTTACTTTCACACAGAACTGATTTTATTAGTTAGTGAATATTGTTAAAGGAATTGCAGGTTGGCATTTGAGGAATTCATGTCATATCACATGTAGCAAAAGTAACACCAGAACAAGCCAAAACAGAAGTTAAAAGTAAAACATGGTCTCTCTTCCCCAGTAATTATTACAATAATGACTGATATGGTTTGGCTCAAATCTCAACTTGAATTGTAGTTCCCATAATCCCCACATATCATGGGGGGACCCTGTGGGAGGTAATTGAATCATGTGGGTGGTTACCTTCATGCTGTTCATGTGATACTGAGTGAGTTCTTACAAGATCTGATGGTTTTACAAGGGGCTTTACCCCCATTTCGCTCTGCACTTCTCCTTGTTGCTGCCACGTGAAGAAGGATGTGTTTGCTTCCCCTTCTGCCATGATTGTAAGTTTCCTGAGGCTTCCCCAGCCCTGCGGAACTGTGAGTCAATTAAACCTCTTTCCTTTATAAATTACACAGTCTCGGGTATATCCTTATAGCAGCGTGAGAGAGAACTAATACAATGATTTCAGAAACTGAACTTGAAACTTGTTTTGGCTACCTTCTACTTTTTAATTCAGTGCCTGGTTTTACTTTTCCCTGGATAAAACAAATTCTTTTCTGTTTTTTATGCTAAGTAACTTGGTTATTCTCAAGGACTATGCAAAATGTGCATATGTGAAACCTCTAATGCACTGGGAAAAAAAGGGAGTAATATGGAGAGCATTCCATATAACAAGATTCTTCCCACTTAACACACATTTTGTTCCTGTTACATTAGAAATAATAGTAAAGATAGAAAACAACACATACTAGCATTAACAGACTCCTGTTCCAGCACTCATTCTAAAATAAAAGAGCTTTAACCTAAAGAGTTAGTCTTTACCTAGACACAATTGGACAATACAGTGCATGTTGTGTGAAACTGGATTATAACTCATTAGCTCATTCAAGCAGAGAAACTCATAGTTGATACCTAAGATGACTATGTTCCACCAAATAATTCAAGAAACTAAGTGTGGTATAAAATTATTATTGTGATAACCGAAACCTAGACTCAAAAATAATTACTTGTTATAAAATGTTAAATTTTGCAGGAAATGAATTTAATATTGAAATTAAGTTTTCTATAAAACAGTATCCAACATATTTTACAATTTGGGTGTTTTGATCAATCAGACAAAATGATGGTTGGCATGGAGTTAAAATACAATTTCTCATCAGTTTCAATATGTGTACAATAGGAACCACTGAAAAATAAAATATACTGATCATAATATAAACATCTTTTGATGATTCAGTGTATCTAAAACCTTCAATGTAAGATGAAGTTTATCAATATTACAGCACTAATGAAATATCCATGTTTATAAACCTTTTTATTGAAGAAAATTGGCAAAAGGTGTATTTGAAATTTATTTTGATTGTTATTATTCAAGGAGAGTTTGCAATAATGAGGCAGATATTAAAATATAATTGAAATTCTGGATTTTTTAAATTATTCAGAAATTAATAATACATTTATTTTTACTATATATTTTAATATTGAATCTTCCTTGAATTAAATTTATTAGTGATATTACCACAATGCATTTGATAGTTATTGGAATAATTTCCCTTTTATTCTTATATCTACCACATACTCATGATTATGATAGTACACTGGGGTTACTCTCAAGGAAAGTAATATCTGGCGATAATTTAGTTGAATTTGCAATACTATCAGTGAGATACACGATTTGATGAAAATAAGAGGAGAGGGATGTTCCCATTGCCCTCGCTCTGTCAGTTTGGTAGTTCTTGCAGAGTTAGACCAGCTACAGTATTCACCAGTTTTGCTACCAGTAAAAAATTGCTTGATTTGGAAAAGAGAGTGGAAAAACCAGATTCCCCTGGGCTTTGTCAGAAACAGTTGCATTATCAGTGTCAAATGAATTTGGAAGGCTAAAGTCTAAGCACGCTTGAGGTTGCAATTTTGGTTGGGGCAAGCAATAGGCTGACAGACTAATGAGAATTTTAGCAGGAAAATGAGGGCAATGAAACAACCACAGCAGCCTTGTTAAGCTCATGCGTACCCTGGCTGTCTGCATGCAAACTCAGAAGAGAACAAAAAATGACCTAGCAATTAACACATGCTTTCAAATATGAGGTTTTATGCACATGCACAGGAGGCATGGAGTGAACCTGGGAGAAAGTGAATCTAGGGCAGAATTGTAAACCACCTAAGGTTGTTTGGTTTTTGGAGTTTTCATAGTTATCAACTACTACACAGATACATGGACAAAAGATGGAGGCCATACTCAAAATGATCCCTAGGTAATGCAGACCAGAAGCTACGCTTAGGAAAGAGCAGGCTTAAAACAGACACACACACACACACACACACACACACACACACACACACACACACACACACACCAAAACTAAAATAGATATCAGTGGCTATCACAGTGCAGACAGTCTGTATAGAACTATTCTGACAAATTGCTAAATAAGGAAGAAAACAAATCAAATAGCAACAGCAACAGCAGCATCACCTAATGAGAATCAGAATCCATAGTTTTAATACACATTATCAAAAATACTCACTTTTCAACAAGAACAAAGGTATTGGATGTGCAAAGAAACAGGAGATTTGTAACATACTCAAAGAAAAAAAAAGATAATGGAAACTGCCAAGGCAGGGAGGACATAAGTGGCTATTATAAATATAGATGAGGAAATAAGGGATATAATGGTTTAAAATATAATAAAATAACATTGAAAATGGGAGTTTTTAAGAAAAAAATTTTGAAAATGAACCAATGAAAATTATGTCTTTGAAAAGCAAAATATATTTAAAAAGCCAAAGCATTTTTGAAATGACAGAAAAATCAGTGAGCCTAATGATTGATGTATATAAATTGTTCTAGTTGAAGAACAGAAAAATAAAACCAAGATGCCTAGAGAATTGAGACTAGAGAATTAAGAAAAACTATCAAGTATGCCAACATAAAAGTAATGAGATAATCAAGAGATGAGAAATGAAAGAAAAATATTTCAATAAACAATGGCCCCAAATTCTGAAATTTAATGAAGAACATTAGTCCATAAGTCCAAGAAACTTAAGAAACTCTAAGTAGGATAAACAGAAAGCAATTCACATCAAGACTACACACACCAGAGTCAAATTTCTGAAAACTGTAAACAAAATAATATTTTGTACTATGAAAGAAAAAAATGGACACATCTAGCAAAAGAACACAATAATAAGATTGATAAGTGATTTCTTATTTTTAAAATAATGAAGGCCAAAATGTATAATAAGATATATTCAAAATGTAACTGTATAAATATTTCATTCACAAGACAGAAAGAACCATACTAAATTAAACAAAAAACAAAAACAAGTTCCAAGTTTCTGAGATCTAAAAGGGATATAATTTAGATTAAAAGACACAAATAGGCCAGGTGTGGTGGCTCACACCTGTAATCCCAGCACTTTGGGAGGCCGAGGCGGGTGGATCACCAAAGGTCAGGAGTTTGAGACCAGCCTGCTCAACATAGTGAAACCCCGTCTCTATTGAAAACACAAAAATTAGCCAAGTGTGATGGTGGGCGCCTGTAGTCCCAGCTACTTGAGAGGCTAAGGCAAGAGAATCTCTTGAACCCAGGAGGCAGAGATTGCAGTGAGCCGAGATCATGCCACTGCACTCCAGTCTGGGTGACACAGTGAGAGTTTGTCTCAAAAATAAATAAAAAATAAAATAAAAGACACAATTAGATTAAAAGCAAAAGGATAGAGAAATATATACTATGCAAACAATAGAAGAGCTACAATGACTACACTATTCTCAGGAAAAAAATAGATTTTAATATAAGAATATTATTAGGGACAAAGAAGGATGCTTTATAATGATAAAATCATAAATTCATCAGAAAGTTATAGCAATTATAAACATTTACTCAATGTACAGCAGAGTCACAAAGCACATGAAGTAATACTAACAGAATTAAAGGGACAAAGAGACAATTTAACAATAATAAGCATTTCAATATTCCATTCTCAATAATGGACAGAACAGCTAGATAGAAATTTAGCAAGGGTCTGGGAGACTTAAGCAGCACTATTTAACAGACATTTGGAGAAAACTCAACATACTAAAAACTGAATAAACAATTTTCTGAGCACACATGGGAGACTCTCCAGTACAGGTTATATACTGGACCATGAAACAAGTCTTTATACATTTTAAAAGTTTGAAATAATACCAAACATACTGTCAGGCATATATAGAATTAGAAGGGATCGAAATCATGGGTAGTACTAAACCCTATATATATTTTGATTTTTCCTATACACATACCTACAATAAAGTGTAATTGATGCTTAGGCACAACAAGAGATTTACAACAATAATTTATAATAAAATAGAACAATTATAAGAGCATACTATAATAAAATTTATGTGAATGTGATCTCTCTCTCTCTCCCTCTCTCTCTCTCTCTCTCTCTCTCTGAAAATCATATTTTCAGTCCAACAACTGTGGAAAGCATAACCATACATGGGGGAACTACTGTACCATATAATCCAGCAATTCCACTATTGGGTCTATATTCAAAGGAAATTAAATCAGTATATTGAAGAGATATCTTCACTGCTATCTTCATTACAGCACTATTTACAATAGCCAAGGTGTGGAAACAACATAAGTGTCCACCAGGGATGAATGAGTTTTTAAAAATGTAGTATATAGACGCAATGTAATACGATTTAGCCCAAAAAAAGAAGAGATGCCTATCATTTGCAGCAACATAAATGAACCTGGAGGAATTTATGCTATGTGAAATAAGCCAAAGAGTCAAACCTGTGGAAGTAGAGAATAGAACGGTGGTTTTCAGGGGTAAGTAGTGGGTACAGGAATACTGGGTAGGTGTTGATTAAGGAATAATGAATTGACATTAGATAGGAGGAATAAGTCCAAGCGATCTATTATAAAACATACTACATATAGTTAATAAGATTGGACTGTATATTTGAACATTGCCAAGACATTAAATTTTAAATATTCTCCCCCTCAAAATAGTGATAAATATGTGAGGTAATGCATACATTAGTTAGCTAGATTTAGCCATCTCACAATGTATACATATTTAATAACAGCATGTTATACAGAATAAAAATATATAATTTCTATTTGCCAATTAAAAAATAAATAAAAGAAATCTGAAAAAGGGCAAACTAAACACAAAATAAGCAGAAGTAGTAATAAAAATTAGAGCAAAAATTAATAAAGTAGAAAACAAAATATAAAGAGAAAACAACGAATGCAAATATAGTTCTTTGAAATGATTTTTAAAAAGTAGGTAAATATTTAGCTAAACTGACCATGTAGAAAAAGAAAGAAAACAAAAATTACCAAAATTAGAAATGTGAGAGAAGATATACAAAAATTTAAAAGGCTAATAAAAGAACATTGTTAATTACTGGTTTCATCCATTAATACAGTACAAATATTTAAATGTCAAAAATTAAAATTTGTATAATACATATAATGTATATATGAATAATTATGTTTTGTTTTTTAGACTTTTATTTGTTTCGTTGACTGCGTGCACTTTGGGTTTTGCAATTTTTCTATGTTGGCCTCATGTATATGTATCTGTATTAATATATTATTTCTATTGGGCATAGTATGTATATGGTCATACATATAAACGTTCATACATGATTTCACTATATTTTAAGGAAGTAAACTCTTGGCAATTTGTTGCAATATTTTTTCTCAGACTGATTATTATTGGCTTTATAAACACATTTAGGTTTTATTAGACACACATATTTTCAGGATTTATTTGCATTCCATTTTACCAATCTTTTTGTTTAAAATATTTGTATTTTATGTCAAGTACCAAAGACTTTCCTAGGTCACACTTGAAAGTATACATTATCTTTTTTTATTAATATTAATATGTTTGTGTCTAACACATTACATCTTTACTACTTTTAGAATTTATGGACATATTAATATTTTCAAGATTTACTGCTTTGCTTTTGGTTTTCATTCCTTGCTTGTCTCTCTCCCCTGTCCCCCTGCTTTTTTTATTCCTAGTCTAATTTACTGATTGGCTTCTGGCCAATTCACTTTTTTGCCTATTCTAGTAAAGTACTTAAATTAGTCAAATCATTAAATTTACCTGGGTGGGCAAATATAGTACATCTAAAATGCAGATTTATAATGTTTAGACACACTGAACAAAAATACATAGACTGATTCCCTCCTTAGATGCTTCCTCAATTTATTCTTTGATCAAAATTATGTTCTGCATCTCAGATGTTTCTCAATTCCCTAGGTTTTTCATTAAAAAATTAACATATATATGTAGATATATGTACATATACAGATTGATATATTTTCACATAAGAAATCATCTTTCTTATTTTTAAGACCAACTCATGCATAATTAAAATTCACCATTAGGAAAATTATTATAAATTTACTAATCTAAACATAATTAAAGTCATTATGAAAGCTAGCAGTATCCTATGCCATGTAATGAGAAACAATTTTGGTTTTCCTTTCCATTTGGTGACTAATGTTAATAATTCATTTATTTTTAATTTGTACAGCTTTTTCCCTTTGGCTCTGACATTTTTAGTTACTAATTAGGAATTAATGTAAGGTGTGTGGGGACTTAATAAGGACTTTCATAATGTTGATGAATACATATTTGCTAGGAAATTAGTTAATATTATTCTAGCCACAGTGTGAATACAATCTGCGTAATCCACACATTGCCCTCATGTAGACACAGTCCTGATACTTGTTTCCATTGTTTCTTTAAAACTCAGTGAATCTGTGTTATCAAAGATAATTTATTTTCAAGTTACACACAATACCACACTTCAGAAATTAAATAGATGAGTGAGCATCACTGTTCAGGTAGTTCTTCAGATGGCAATTTTAAAAATTTTTTGTGGGTACAGAGTAGGTGTATGTATTTTGTGGGTACATGAGATGTTTTGATACAGTCATGAAATATGAAATAAGAACATCATGGAGAATGGGTTATCCGTCTCCTCAAGCATTTATTCTTTGATTTCAGATGGCAATATTTTAAAGAATTGAATCAAGATTTTTTTAGAGTACCGTATATTTTTCAAAATAGCATTTATAACTAATATAGTCTCCACAAACATTAACTTATCACCTTTAAATGTATAGCCTCTAATTAGCTATCATGTTAGCATAAATGTGATTTTCTTCTATTTTAATATAAATTGATTTTCCTTAAAACAGAACCTTATGTTACTACTTTATTTTAAAATTAAGAAATATAAAAATTGTTCATGTTTTAATAAAATTTCTGAATACTTATGAGTAACTTAATTTGATAGTGATTAAAGTTCGAAAAAAGCCATTTCATATTTGCACTTTATACATTTATGAATTCATACAAATTTAAAATAGTGTTGTTTTATTGCTCTTATAGTTTTAGATCACTAAAGATCATCTACATAAAAAGAAATGTATATTTATTAAATTACATTTTATTGTCCTACTTAATTTGTAAACAGAAAATGAAACCTGAGAGTATGTCTCAGTATATGATTTGGATTTGTCATGATGGTGACTGGTATGCTTTAACAAACAGAATCTAACTCCTACTTATTGGGAAGTAGGGCAACCACACTTCAAGATTTAATCATTTTAATTATAATATTATTTTAGCAACATTCGTTCACTTGAAAAAATGGATAATTGTATACGTTTGGAGATATTAATGCATATACAAGGGTTTGTGTTTTATATCAGTTTACATATATAAATCAATATTTTATAATATCTCTATTTGAGTGCCTATGTGTGTTTTTGTGCATGTGTGTGTGTTGCGTGCAAACTTATATTTGTATTAGGCAGCTATAGTCATCTGGGAAGCCTCCCAGAAGACATATTAAATATTCCTTAATAAATAAGTATGAGAAAATCCTTTGAGGGGATCTTTATATGCCTTCAAAATTCTTGAAAAAAAGGAAGAATCCACTGAAAATTATGCCAATTAGAATAATAATTAAAGTGACTGGAACTTCTCTTTTTCTTACTTTCATTTAGAATGATGCAAACTATTATCAAAAGTAGCCATTTTATTCAGTGCCATATGATTTTGTACATAAGATATGTTGTTATGCACAGCGACTCCCATGCTATACTATAAACAAGGTTATTGAGTTTGCATACTGAATGTCATAATGCATGTGCCTTTGGCTTTGGAATTTCTTTTTACACTAAACTCAAAGTATTAAGATCACTACACTTTGAAAAATATATAAGATTTCATTTTTTAAAAAAGAAGCAAATGCAATAGGTAAAGTGAAACAACCCTGATAATCTCAGTACAAATGTCATTGGCCAAGAAAATGCAGAGCAAATGATATGTCAACAAATCCACTGAAAAAGATTTTCTTTTAAGAAAATCCAGAGACTTTACTCAGGTAAATAGTTACAAGCTAGGGAGAAGCAGCCGCTATACAAAACAAAGAGAGAACAAAGAGAGGGGTTACAAGAGAGAGGTTACCTTTTACAGAGAAATGTTCCACCCAGGTTTTCACTCCGGTTCACTTATGCAAATACAGGATGCAACCTGCTTAATTATCATTGGTTAATGCTTTCTGAGTTCTGATTGGTCAAAACTTGCTGATTTCTGAGTGACTGATTCAGGTCAAAGTCTATTGGCTAATTCAGGGACATAAACAGAAAAGGACAGTTATAAAAATCTCCAAGTTAACCAAGTGGGGGGATTTTCCAGAAATGCAGAGCAGTGTGTTACCTCTAGTCAACAAATGATTGCTTTGCTCATTTAGGCCCAGTTAATCACTTAGGATCTATCTTGAAAAATTGGCTCTTTGAGGGTTCACAGGAATAACAATTAAATCTACAAAGAAATTAAAACTGGCTAGGGATGTAGAATGATCATGCTTCATAGTTTTAATCTTTTCTTTTTTTGTCTAGGCATAATTATTAGAAGAGTCTCTCTTACTTTCAAAAGTGTGCTAGTTTGAAAGACATGTTCTGTGATTCTCCTATATATTCTGTGACCCAAAATATCTGAGACAGGTCTCAGTCAATTTAGAAAGTTTATTTTGCCAGGGTTAATGATGTGCCAGTGATACATCTTCAGAAGGTCCTGATGACATGTGCTGAAGGTGGTCAGGGTACAGCTTGCTTTTATACATTTTAGGGTGACATGAGACATCAATCAATATGTATAAAAAGTGCATTGGTTGGTCTGGTAGGGCAGGACAACTCAAACTGGGGGCTTCCAGGTTAGAAGTACATAAGCGACAAAAGGTTGCACTTTTGAGTTCTTGATCAGCCTTCCACTGAATACACAATTTAGGGTGACTCAAGGAGTCTGCATTTTTACATAAACCATAGGGCAGAGGAAGGAATCAGCTATGCATTTGTCTCAGGTGAGCCTCAGAGGGATGAATTTGAGTTCTGTCTGTCCTTTTTTCACAAGGAATTTCCTTGGGTGAATTGTGAGGGAGGTATGTAGCTTATCATTGTAGCTATCTTGTTTAGAAATAAAATAGGAGCCAGGTTTGCCTGACATAGTTGCCAGCTTGACTTTTCCCTTGGCTTAGTAATTTGGGAGTCCAAAGATTTATTTTCCTTTCACAGCTGTTATCACCAATTTCTGGATAATAAAATAAATAGTAATTAGCCTCATAATGTACTATGTTTACTGTTCTAGTATTCAGACATTTATTTCAGAGATTTATTTCAGAGATTAGGTTTTTCCATATTTATTTAGAGAGTCATTTTCATTCTACAATTATAATTGTTTTTCTTCTTACATGAAGGCTGTATATTGAAGGAGATTATGGTAGGATAGACAAGAGTTGGATAAACACAGTCACTGAAAATGACCTCTGGTTAAAATGAATGTTGGAAAAAATTTTTAAATCATTTTGATAAACTTTTAATTCACCTTTATAGCTAGTAAAATTGAGAAGTCCACAGTGCTTACAAAGATTTCCAAAGAATGTTAAGGAATGACTAGAAATTATATTGTATTATATGGAGTAAATTTAACATTGTTAGGGAGAAAAAAAATCTGGGGCATGCATCTTTCTTCAGGGACTTAGTAGAAAACATTATCTTATTAGAAATGTGGTTGATAAAGAAATTAACATATAGGTGGAAAAATAAAGTTAGATGGTATTAAAATTAAATATGGTAGAGTAAAAGAGATTTGTACATATCTATAGCCTTCTGAGAAAGAAGGAATTAATACAATTAGGTGTAAAGATTGCCTCCAAACAGGAGAGAGCCTTCCTACTGTGACATGGAGAAAAGGATGAGAGAACAGGCATGGTTATATAAATTGTGTAATTGCAACACAGTGGGTTTTAGGAAATTTACGTAGGTAATGTTTTCTATTTTGTCTAGAAAATGAGAAGCCAGGCATTCTGTTTTTATGAAAGAATATAAGTTTAATAAGATAGTGCCAAAAATAGGAATAATTGTTCAAGGGTACGAAAGGAAACTGGTAATTGAGAACAAGTAAACCAATTAATGGGTGGATTGAAATAAACTTTTATGTTGGTTTTAGATAATTACAGTAAATGTTAGCATGCTTTGGGACTGGCTACATAGAATTGACTATTTTCCTAAAAGCAGAAATTATTTTTCTTGATTAGTCAATAAAACCTCATGTTCCTGAAGTAATATGTGAATAAATTTTATATCATCCATGTTAAATGGTAATAGTTAAAAAGTTGTAAAAACATGAACACAATTTTAAAATTATTTTTCTCTTTTTGCTATGTTGGAATAGTCCTATATAATACTTGTACATTGTTAATATAGGTATTAATTGTTTTGCCTTAAGATCTGAGGAAAAAAATTAGTTATTTTTTAAAAATTATCTGCTGCTACAATATAATATATTAGATCCAATTTAAACTGCATCTGCCTTTAAACATAGCTTGTTTATTTGAAAGCTTTTTCTTTACTGCTGTCATTTTGTATTAGGAGGGGAGGTGCATTAATTTAAGAGCAAATCCTTTTGTTCTGTCGCTTTCATGCTCCACGTCCAAAATCTCAACCTGTGGATTACAACGATTTCCCCCTCCCTCAGAATGTTTTCTTGTAACACAAAAAAGGAAATGCAAATGAAATTCGAAATGTCTAGCTGTTTAAAAACCAAAAAGAAACAGTTTGCTTCAGCTCAAAACATATGTGTTGTCCTTGAGTGAGGATTAGGGCAATTAATTTTGGTTGTTTCCCTTACCTGAAAAATCAATCAAGCAGTGATGATATCATCAGGTACATCAAAGGTTTTAAAGAAAACACAGTAAGCAAGACTTAATTATTGCACTCACACACAGGGGGTGCACTCTAGGAGCCTAAACTATAAGGCAGATTAATTTTCTTTCCCTATAGCAATTGCTATAGCAACAAAATCAAATTGTATGTTAGAACAAAAATCTACAAACTTTTAGGGCAAACAGTTGATACATTGCACTTGCAATTTTTAGCATGAAAGGATAGCCACCCAAACAAAGTGTTGAATGATTAGTTCCACAAAAGGTCTAGTTTAATGTACATTGAATAGATCTCTGATTGTTTTAAAAGGGGAGAATCTTGGAAATATCTTTGTTAATGTGCATCATGCAAGTCATTGCTGAGGATAGTATTTCTTCTATATAACAGAGTACAATAAAACCTTCTCTCCAGAGTTAATGAGATTTTGTAGACAGGACTTTTTAAGTAAGGAGTTCTCCTCTTATAAAAAGCTTAGTCTAGCAAAATAGAGTAATTCAAATTTTACTTTGTATTTTATGACGATTTTGGCTTTTATAATTTTTATGTATGCAATATATAAAATTAATTGAAGCAAGAATGTCTGTTATATGATTCATTTTATGTGATGCAGTTATACATATAAATAATAGACTATTGTAATATGGCACAATGGAAATTCTCTAGCATATTTGTAGAGATGAAAAATTAGTATTATTGCCATTTTATGTAATATATTTCTAATTTCTCTTACTTTTATACATAATTGTTGTTAAAATGTTAAATATATAATTTTTATATTGATACATTTTTAGGACAAAAATTGAATTTTGTAGTAATAAGCAGTCTTGGTGTCTGTGCTTTTGGGTCAAAACTGATGGACTTTGGAAACCAACTATGTTTGAATAATATAGGTTCTCTCTTAATGAAAGCTCTTTTCACTGACAATAAATGGTTGCATCTTAAAAAAGGTTCTCATTAAATATAAATAAATAAGAATTTTGCATGTAGTATTTTATTAGATAATTGATAAAATTTTCAAATAATTGCATGTGATTTGTTATAAGTAGCCAGATCTGACTTTTCAAACATTTATATATTTCTTTCATTCTTCCTATAGACTTCAATTTTTCTTTCTTTGGGATAACCTTCACATTGTATAGCACTTACATAGTTTGAATTAAATTCATCCCACTTCAGATCTAAGGGGGGCCCTCATTAGCCTACGAAAATAACTATTAATCCACAATCCTTGTCACCCAGGCAATCCATGGTTTGTTCCTGAACAGAGCAACTAGATTAGATAAGAATGCCTGTATCTATTTGATGCCATTTCAGCAAATACCAGGATTTCTGGTATTCGTTATTTTTTAAAATTACTGATTGGATAAAATCATTGTCCTTCATACCCCGCCCCCTGTTTTCATGGATGAGCAAAGAAGTAATGCCTCTGTCTTGGTTATACCTTGTAATAAGTATGGGCTCGCTACTGAATAAAGCTGCCATATTTACAAAGTGTAGATAGAAAACAGTAACACCCTGGGAAATGAAAGCATTGAATCATTCAGAACATTTCAGAAGCCTGGAAAGTTTTTAAGCTTTTCAAATATCTTAATTCTAAGTGTTTTAGCAACATGTGCCAGTAAATCCTACTTATTTAATGTCATTTGAGTTAGGTTTTGTGTTATTTAAAATGTATAATCCTCACTAATATAGACTGTTCTTAACTATTGATTAAATTCTCCAATTTAAAATTTTAAAAAACCCTTAGACTCCATATGTCATCATGACATGCTATATACAAATAAAGCAAGAATACATAAAATTGAACACTTGACTAACACTTAACATTTATTTATTTCAAAGTGACTACCTTCTAAGAATATTTTTAGATTATAAAGAAGTTAGATTATTGAAATAAACTGCAGGCACAAAACATTTTACTCGTTGCAAATTGGTATGACCACTCAGCAACTCTACTATTGGCAAGAGTATTAACACATTTAAATGTATGCTTTAATTTGTTTATAAAATCAGCTTGTCAACAAAATTACATTAGGTAAATGCCAAACTATACCCCGTCCAATTTTGCCACTCTCAGAGAAATACGCTATTAATAATCTGAAAAAAAGTACCAGATGATTTAAAATGCACATATGAATTGTTATTAATATTAGAGCTTATTATATGCAGGTAGTTTTAGGCACTGTGACTACCTATGAGTAAAACAGACAGTAGTTCTTGCCTTATTGGAACTCACTAGCCACTAATAATTCAGATATTTAAAAATGAGCAACATTGCATGTAATTATGTAATGACATAGTGCTTTAAAGAAGAGACTGGTAACATAAAGAACATAATTAGTCGCTTCTCTGGAAGATGGGAGTCAAGGCTTTTTCCTGAAGATATTATCTAGGCAGCAATCTGTGTGATAAATAGTCATTAGAGTCATGGAGTAGGTGTGGAGGAGTATAACGGGCAGAGATCAACATGGTGGGGACACTTGTGTTAACAAAAAGAGAATAATAGCTTCCCTTAATCAGGAAAATGAAAGAAAGTAATTAAAGAGAGAGCTTAGTAAGTAGTTACCAAGAGAGTTGTGCAAAATGAGACCTGAGAAGTGGGCAGGAGGCAGATCATATAAAGGCTCACAGCTTCCTTAGTTGTTTTTGCATTTTCTTACAAATCCACCATAAATTTATTAAAAGACTTTAAGCAATTGGGTGCTGAGGATCAAGTAAAAACATGAAGTCATTCATTAGCCTATTGGTTAGTAAGTAGATTTAAAGAGATTAGCAGATAAAGAAAAAAAAAAAATCCCAAACCCAACCCAAACAAAAACCTGTTAAAAGGCTTCTTACAAGGCATTAATCAAGTGCCATAGCTTAAAATAAGTACTGGTGGTTGAACAGAAATTAAATGTGTGTGTGTGTGTGTGTGTGTGTGTGTGTGTGTGTGGTGAAAACACAGCTAAGTAGAATTGCTGAGTCACATGATATGTGTATGTATAACTTTATTAAAAATTGACAAACTATTTTCCTGATGTGGTGATTGGTTCAATATTAGATGAGAGAGAGAGATTTGAAGATGAAATTTCTGTTTCTGCAATGTAACTTTGGGTAGCAGATAGTGTTCTTTTCTGAGTGAGAGAAGAGAGGAGCAAGTTCATAAATGGGGAGTGTAGATTGAAAATTGGGAGTTCATATGTTCTATTTGAATGATTATGAGACACATCAGTCCCGTAACACCCAGAGATGTTAAACAGGTAATTTGATATTTAGGTATGGAATTTAGAAACTATATCTCAGAGGAATTTGGAGACAGCCTTTATGTTACTTAGGTAATAAACTCATATCACTACTTTACACTATGGTTAATATTATTTTTCTAATTAACGTACAGTAAAATTGACTTTATGATATAATTGTATAAATTTTTACATGTGTGTAATTTCATTAACCACCACCATAATCAAGATAGAGAAAGAACGGTTTCCTCATCTGAAAGGCACTCTCTTGTTATCCCTTAGTAGCCACACACTTGCCCTATTCCTAATTCCTGACAGGCACTGATCTGCTATGTCATTATGGTTTTCTCTGTTTCAGAAAATCATATAAATGGAATCACAATAAGTAACCTTTTGAAACTAGCTTCTTATACTTAGCCTTTAATGTCCATCCAAGCTGTTGTCGTCTACATCAACAGAACCTGTCTTAGGCAAGTGTCTTGGTGCATCTAAAGCTAAATATACCTTTTTTAACTCTATTACTTCATTGTATGAATTCACTGCAGTTTATCCATTTACCATCTGAGGGACACTTGAGTTGTTTCCAACTTTTCAATCTTGTAAACATAACTTCTGAAAACACTTGTGTGCAAGTTTTTCTATAAACACAACTTTTCAATTCTCTAGGGTGAATCTGACAAGTAGAATTGCTGAGTCACATGATATGTGTATGTATAACTTTATTAAAAATTTGCAAACCATTTTCCTGAGTTGCTGTAAGTGTTGCCACCCAGTAAGCTCTGTGTGTAAGTTCCATTTCCTTTGCATCCTCACTAGCACTTGATACTATCACAGTTCTTATTTTTAAGCCCTTCTAATAACTGTGTTGCAGAATCGCACTGTGAATTTACTTCCCTAGTGGAGAAATGCATTTCTTTGCCTTCCACATATACACACACCTTCTTTGATTAAGGTCTGTTCACGTGCTTTGCCTCGACTCTTCCCAGCATTTTCCCATTGGATTGCTAGTTAGTTCTTCACCATTTATTTTTGAGTCATCTTAATTTTTGGTGGGTGCAAGTTCCTTTTCAGATATGTAACAGGAAAATAATTTTATCCACTCTAAAGCTTATCTCTTCATTCTTTTAATAGATTCTTCACATAAAAAGGTTTAAATTTTTGGTCAATTTTAATTTATATATTTGTGATTTATGATTTGTCTATTGATGTCATGTTTATGAATTCTTTGCCTAACCTCTGATCATAAAAAAGTCTCCTATGATCTCTTCTAACATTTTTATAATTTTATGTTTTATCTTTATATCTATTATTTTTGTGGTTGATTTTTGTAAAAAGTATGAGAGTGCTATTAAGTTTCAAATGCATACACATAGATGTCCACTTGTTCCAACATCATGCTGTTATTAAAGGTGACCACCTCAGTAGTCTTTTGTTTTCAAACCTTGGTCATAAATCAATAGTCATCTTTGAGTGGCAGTCTCAGAAATCTTTGTTTTGTTCTATTGATCTATATGTCTCTCCCTTCATCAATACTACGCTATCTTGTTTAGTGTAGCATTATATTCCGTTATAAATTCAAATAGTTATAAATTCTTTTATTTTAAAACTACTTTGCTATTTTAGTATCTCTGCTTTTCTATTAAATAAGTTAGAATCAGCTTGCCTGTACTTACAATGTAATCCTGCTTGGATTTTGGTTGATATTGTGTTTAAGTCTGTAGACCAATTTGAGAGGATTGACGTCTTTACTATGTTGAATATTTGAATCAATCAATAAGCTCAGACTCTCTACAAATTTATATCTTTTATTTATTTCTTTTATTATTTTAAAAATGTACTTAAGTATTTTTAAAAATAAAACTTTTTAACTATTTAAGTTGGCTGGCTCAAATGGTATTTTTAGGCTGGATTCTCATTGGTCACTGTTAGTATATAGGAATATTATTAATATGTGTACGTTAAATTGTTGAACTGGTTTTCTATAATTTTAATGAACTTATTAGTTCTGGGAGTTTCTTTCTATATTTCTAGTGTTTTCTTTGTAGCTAATATTTTCTATAAATAGAAACAGTTTTTTTCTTCCTTTCCAATTGTTATGTGTTTTACTTATTTTTCTTGTCATTTTATACACTTGAAGTTTCAGTATATCAGTATAACATTGAATAGTATTGATGTGAGGAATTGGTTCATTTAATCTAAGTTGTCAAATACATTTGCATAGAGCTGTCTGTAACATTCCTTCTATTCTATGTTTTTAAGATGGGGTCTCACTATGTTACCCAGGCTGAAGTGCAGTGGCTTTTCACAAGAACAGTCCCACTCCTGATCATTATGAGAGTTTTGACTTGCTCTGCTTTCAATCTGAGGCTTCACTCCTTCTTAGGCAACCTGGTGGTATATTAATGTCAAATTTAGAACAGACATTGGATCAGCATAGAGCATTACAGGCCAGAACTCCTGGACTCCAACCATTCTCCTCCTGCCTCAATCCCCCAAATAGTTGGGGTTACAGGCATGTGCTGCCACTCCCGATTCCTTAAAATACTTTTAACTCTTATGATGCCTGTAGTGACATCCTCACTATCATTCTTGATATTGGTTATGTGTATATTTCTTTTTCAGTCAGTCTTTCTAGAAGTTTATCAAATTTATTCATAAAATAACCATTTAGTTTCATTCATTTTTCTCTACTGCTTTCTGTTTTCAATTTCATCAATTTCCGTGTCTTGTTTGTCTTCCTCTTTTCTTCTTTTGGTATTTCTTTAGGTTGAATATAACATCACTCTTAGGAGACCTTTTATCTTTTCTTTTATAATCACTTAATGGTATATATTTTCCTCAAAATCATAGTTTAGCAGAATTCTACAGTTTGATATGTTGGGTTTTTATTTTCATCCAATTCAAAATATTTTCTAATTTGCCTTAGAAATGTTCCTTTTTGAACTGTTAATAATTTAGAAGTGGGTTATATAATTCCAAGTAATTAGCTTATTTTCATCTTTCCTGAATGTCATTTATGAATAAGTTTGTGTCTCTCACCAAATATAGGGTGTTTTTAGCCCTTAATTGCTTAACCTTTTTTTTTGCAACACATTTCTTTCTCCTTCTTGGAGTTCAGTGAAACTAAAGTTAGATATTTTGTTATTGCCCCACATGTCTCTAATGCTCTAATTATTTTTCAATCTTTTGTCTCTCTACTTGTTGAAATTTTTTCTTTTAAATACTTTTAAGCAACTATTACCTAATTATCTCAATTCTGTGTTACGCAACCTGTTAGATATTTTTATACTTATTATATTTTCAGTTCTATTTTATATACGTATATCTTTGTGCTGAGATTATTTTCCTCTGTATTTACTTCAAGAGTCTTCTCCAGTAATATTTTGACATTTTTATAAATAGCTATGTTTAAGCTATTTATAAAATTCCAACATCAGCATTGTCTTGTCATTCATGTCTGCTGATTTTCTTTTGTGATATATGTAAAGATTTTCTTGGTTCTTGTTTTGGTATGCATTTTTGGTTTTACCATGTGCACTTAGAATATTGTGATATGAGGTTCTGATCCTTATTTAGTTTCTATGGAAAATGTTGACATTTTTGTTTTATCAGGCAGTCTACATGGTTGTATTTAGCTGGCACTTTCTTTCCAGGGTTTTCTGATGTTTGGTTTCAATGTTTAAGTTTCAAAAACTTTGAAGTGCTATTCTGACCTATTCCACATGTGCATCAGTCAGTAGCTACTTTGGGGACTGAGCACTGGTTTGTCTCTTAGTTTAGTATTTAAAGTAATTTTGTGCTTTTTTAGAAGTAGATTTACACATGCTCCGTTGGGAGTGAATCCAAGAGTTTATTTTCCCTAGGTCTTCTCTCTCCGTCATCTTCCTGATACTATTTAAAACCTTTTTTAGGTCCTTCAGCTAAAAATGTGCGGCCTTATTCAGCCCCTCCTCAACTAGCACACAATTTTCTTTATCACACCTTCATCCTGGAACAAACAGCAGGAAGACACAAAGAGAAAAACTTCAATAGGCTTTGTACTAATTTCAGGCAGTACAGCTTTTTCAGCTGAGGAGGATTTTCCCTCTAAATCACAGTTTTCCGTTCTACACATTCTTATTGCCACTTTCACCATTGCCAGAAGAATCCTTTTCTCCAACCATGAGCCTGAACCAGAGGTTACTTCTGGCACTCTCTCTAACTGTTGTGATGTCCATTTCCAAGATTTTGGATTGCCTTGAGATCATGTTGAGGAATACTGGTGAGGGTGGTTGGCTGGGGAGGAAACTCACTGCTACTTAGTGACAGTGATATTTCTTTTTTTTTGAGACGGAGTTTTGCTCTTGTTGCCCAGGCTGGAGTGCAATGATGCGATCTCACCTCATCACAACCTCTGCCTCCCGGGTTCAAGCGATTCTCCTGCCTCAGCCTCCCGAGTAGCTGGGATTACAGGCATGCGCCACCACGTCTGGCTAATTTTGTATTTTTAGTAGAGACGGCATTTCTCCATGTTGGTCAGACTGGTCTTGGACTCCTGATCTCAGGTGATCCACCTGCCTCGGCCTTCCAAAGTGCTGGGATTACAGGCATGAGCCACCATGCCCGGCCCATGATGATATTTCAAATTCTGATCTTTTCAACCAGCCTGCCACTCTGCTTTACAGTCCTTACATAGCTCCCCCACGTGCTGTGTTTAGGATTTTTATCTGCATTCAGTGGGAGAGAAGGGATGTACTGTGTTTACTTGATCTTAAAGGTTCCCTAACTTAGAACCTACCTAATTAGTATATTTTTACAGCATCACTAAGCATGCTAGTTTGATATGGGAGTCTCTGTGTCAGGGATTAAAACAAAACAGCCTTAATTATAAATATGCAGACTCATGGATGTATTCTATATATTCTACATTATACAAAGCCCTGAAGATAATTTAGTACTTGTTTGTGAGAGAATATAGACTTAATGGGGATCCGAACAACACAGCACCCAGGCTCACTCAGGTATGTCCTAGCATCATCAATTTGGAATTATTTGGAAATGAGTTTTTAATAGCCGCTATTTCTAATCCTGAATATATGCACTGCTGAAGGATTTATCCTGAACATAATTCTCCAAATAAATTTCAACCTTAACATCCTGAAGTTCAAGGAAAACACAGCCACCTGGGTGAGAGTATAGGCTAACAAAAATGCCCCATGTAATGCTCAGTTTATGAAAGGCATAGTAGTAATAGCAGGAATAAACGGCTTAGGAACCATTCTAAAATATTTGAATAGCTAGAATTCTCCAATGTGGAAATTTAAATCTAAAATAAAATAGTATTAAAATACTATACTAATATTATATTTTAAAAAGAAATGATGCGGGCTATGTTTGTCATAATATAACCCCATCCCTAAGGCAGTAAGAGATACTAAACTTAACCAAGTATCTATAATTCCCATGAGTAGTTATTATCTTATGACAACCATGCACTAGATTCACTTTGCTTCTATAATAGATGTCTGTATTGTGATAGAAAATGTAGCATAATTTTCTAGAAGATAAAATCAGTTTGACAGCAGTCTCAGTTTGTTTCACATGAAATAATCTAACATGTAAAATATTTTCTAGCCAACTAGGTTACTGCTTTTAAATTTTCTCATTTATAAGTCAGCAACACTTTGGAGACATAAAAACCTGCCACTGGGCTTAATTCATGGGGCTCTGTGAACTATTAACGCATAGTTGACAAGACACTCACTTTAATGCTTTATGATATGTGTCATTTGACAAAATTGTACAGTACAATGAGAAGCTAAAATAAGCAAACCATCAATTAGTTATTTGTCTTTGGAGAATAAAATAGGTGTTTCATCCTAAAGGTCATACAATTTTGCTTTTATAGTAATATTCTGTAAAGTTTTTCATTATTTTTGGATTATGTGAGGATTCCTATTTCTAAATTCTAATTTATTTTATAAAGTTTGAGGGGATGTGTATTTGGTTTAGGAAAACTGATAAGGCTTTAGGTATTTCAAACTGCCAGGGATGTAATATAGGGAATTACAGTCTTAAAATAATGTCAGAAACGTTGGGGTAAGAAGGTCAAGGAATCCATAACCACTGTTCAACTAATCAGGAAGTGCAGATATCACCAGGAGCCACTGAATAAGATGAGCTGCCTGCAGTCTCCAGCTGGGGGATTTGAAGAAGATGCCCATAAGCTACCAGCAAAACCTCACATCTGTCATCTGTCAAAGCCAATGTGCTTACTCACTACGGCTGCAGGGGCAAACCTGGCTTCTATTTCACTTTCCAATTCTTTACACAAGTGTCTTTTAACGGCAGAATTTAAACTGGAAACTTTCAGGCAAAACAGCTTTCCAGCCCCTGTAATATAGTAAAATGCTTATAAAGGAGGAAATTGTCATGAGTACAAACAGGCAATAACATGCCACTCAGCATTTCTAAATACCCTTCCACTCATAATTAAACGTAAAAGAAGATTAGTACTGTCTCAAATCTTTGCTTATTGTACTAGTTTCCTGGGGCTCCTGTAACAAAGTATAACAAACTGGGTTGCTTAAACAACAGAAATTCATTGTTTCATAGTTCTGGAGGCTAAAATTTCAAGATGGAGGCTCAGCATGCTTGTTTCCTTCTGAGAGCTGTGAAGGAGAATTTGTTCCATGCCTCTCCCTATGGTCTCCATATAAATAAAGGTTTCATAAGTCAGCAGAAGGAAGGGTTGTCAGAGCACTTTCGCAAAGGACACACATCTGTGTCCAATGTATATGTCTTTTTCAGTGAAACAAAATCATCTATGATGAAAGCCATCTACAATAAGTCCCTGCCACCTATATGACTGCTCCTCTAAGAAATGACACCATTTTGGACCTTCGGCATTGATCTCTGCTTTTGGATATTGGAATCACTTCAGCCTTTGAGAAGAAAAATGTATTCAGTTGAATCTATACAAATACTTCCACTCCTAACAACATAATGACTTTGTTTTTGAGTTTACTGAGCATAGGCTAGGATACAGAGAAAGAGGCTGACTGACTTCCACAAAATAAGTCATCTTTCTCACCTGATTGTCGATGGCCTCATCATTGTTGAGTGTACATTCAGATGGGACACTAATTACTTATGCAGTTCATTTACCAAGATGCACAATGCAATCCTCTAGTCTTGTTTTCTCTAAATCTCCAGTCATTTAGCCAAATTATTAGCCACTTCAAATGAAGCAATGTCAAGCCACCTCCTTGAACAGTTCCTCTTTAGGAAAAATGGACATCAGATATACATTTTAGAGTCTCCTCTTTAGAAGGGTTCAGTTTCTCACTGCCTTTTACACCAATTATAGATCAAAGACTTTCTAGATTAGTGCAGCAGTTCACTTCTAGATGCTAACAGTTTAAGTGGATTCCAAAAAATCCCTGAAAATAGAGATATCTCTTTTCTTTGGTATTTCTTTTGGTAATTTTATTGTTGTAATTGTTCTAGTGGTAAATTTTATGCTAATAATATAATAAAATAAATCATTTCTATACTATAATAAAATAAGTCATTTATATATTATATGCTGCCACATATGTGATTGCTTCCCTGAGAAATGTATATAACATATTCATATATATATATATATATATATATATATATATATATATCTTCTGTCAATTTCTTTAATTTTTAGATATGAAAGTACTTTTTTTTATACTTTAAGTTTTAGGGTACATGTGCACAACATGCAGGTTTGTTACATATGTATACATGTGCCATGTTAGTGTGCTGCACCCATTAACTTGTCATTTAACATTAGGTATATCTCCTAATGCTATCCCTCCCCGCTTCCCCCACCCCACAACAGGCCCCGATGTGTGATGTTCCCCTTCCTGTGTCCATGTGTTCTCATTGTTCAATTCCCACCTATGAGTGAGAACATGCGGTGTTTGAAAGTAAATTTAATCTTAAGATTTTTCTCCATTTCTTAAAAGTGTGTTTTTTATAAAACTTTTATTTTAGTTTTAGGGACACATGTGTAGGTTTGTTATATATGTAAATAGAATGTTGCAGGGATTTGGTGTACAAATTATTTCAGAACTCAGGTAATAAAAAGTCATCCGTTCTCAATTAATTGGATTTTGTAAATAAATTGGAACCCATTAGAAGACTTCTTCCTCATCTTTTTTTGCTTTAATAATATCTGAATTGAGAATTATTTGGACAATGTGTTCTGTTTATTCTTAGTCTTTTGTGTTTCAAACAGACTTTTACTCAGGCATGTCCAAGTTTATACTTCCTATTTTTATTTCCCATACATCTGAGTGTCAGCCTATTTCCAAATTGTTCCTGAGTTTCCCAAATGTTTTCACATATATGAAGAATGTTTAAAAAGATGCACAAGTTCTCTTGAAGAAACACAAGAGCCTTCTTTCATAAACAGCTGGATATGGGTTGTAGTAAACATTTCCTTTTATGTATAGATATTTGAATATGTTGAATAAACCTTTTATAAGCCACTACATTCCCAGAACCCCCAGTCCTATGGGTATCAATTAAATTGTATTGAAATTTGGGATATTTACATTGTGTATTGAATTGCATGTAAAAAAGTAGACACAGCAACACTAAAAACAAAATATGATGAGTAAAAAGCACAAAATTAGATGTAGCAACAAATCCAAATATATCACTAATCCAGAAAAATGGATAAGAGATGAATATGTTAGGTTAAATGAAGAGGTTGTAATCTTGCATTAGATAACAGCATTATTTATATCTGTTTACAAGAAACAAATTCAAAACTTAAAGGAAGTTTATGGGATGGAATAACTTTGACAAATAATTAACAACTATTGGTATACACAAAAATTTTTAAATAAAGTTTAAAAAGTGAACTCACAGAATATTTCAGGCCAATATTTTAGGCCAATTTAACAAAAGATAAAAAATATGCCAAAGCACAGTACAATCGATGATTTTTTCTTATAGCATATAAAGCAAAAATTTCAGAATTTCAGCCCAGGCAACAATTGGTTATTATACATCATTTTCTATTACCAACAAATAAAAAATATTGTATGTAATAGCTCACAAAATCTGCCTATATATTAGAAAGGCAAAAGTCTGCCTTCTAATATTATTTGTAGTCAATAATAATACAATCAAAACCCTATAAATTTAAAAAAATATTAAATCACAATAAAATTGACTGGCTAAAAATGTAAGTGGCATAAATACAAAAATATTTACATTTGAAAACAATCTTTGTATATTTAAGCATTTGAAATTCTAATTAGTTACAGTTTTTAGGCTAAACATTTCCATTTGTGATCTTGAAAATTAAAATCATTCCCCCAGAGGCTGGCATACTAACCTGGGTCCAACTATGGAGCTTGAAGCAGCCCTATAACCCACAACTAGCCCTTCATAGCTATGGTCCAGGATCAGTCTTTTCTGCTCAGGAACCAGTACTAGGCATGCCTGTCCATGCCACAGAGGCAGGCATGCAGACTGCTGTCTTGGCTATGGAACCTGAAGCAGCCCTGTGACTTAGATCCAGCCCTTCTCATTTGCAGTCTAGGGTCAGTCAGCCTTCTCAGAGACCCATCTAGTGACCCAATAGGAGCCGCTCCATGGCTGTGGCAGAAGCCTAACCCATTCATGCACCTGGTAACAAGCATGCAGTATGCAAACCTAACTGGAGACTCTGAAACAGAACATTGCCCTGTTGTCAACCCTAGTGACCAGGGTTCTAGAGTCAATTTTATGTGCTCAGGGACAAAAAGAATTCATGCTGGCCTAAGCCCATGATAACAGGCTACCCCATGTGTGGATCTCACTGTGCACCCAACAGCAGCCATGTAATCAATCTCCAACCCTGATTGACTGTAATCCTGGAGAAAAGTCCATAAGTCTTTGGACTCAACAAGAGAAGAACTTTACCTGCTGAAATTACTATTTAAAGACTGAAAGAGGTGTTAGCTCCTTCCAATGCACAGATGCACATATCTCAACAAAAGCCTCCATGTATCATTCACAATCAGGCCAACACAACACCATAAATGGTCACCAATAAAGCCACAGTAACCACCCCTCCAAAAAATGGAGATCTATGGATTGTCTGAATAAGAATTCAAAATAAATCTTAAAGAAGCTCAGTGAAAATGAATAGTTTACAAACAAAATGAATAGTTACTAAGAAAATTAAAACCATGAAAAAGAAACAAACAGTTATCTTGGACTCGAAGAATACAATAAATGAAAACTTAAATAGCTTAACTGCAAAATTAATTAAACAGAAGAAATAATCAGTCAACTTAAAGACAGATATATTTAAAATTAGCCAGTTAGAACAAACTAAGTCCAAAGTTAGTAAGAAGAAAAAAAGAATAATACTAATAATCAGAGCAGTAATATAGAATAGGCACTACCAAGACAATAGAAAAGATAAAAAAGTAAGTTATTTTTAAAAATAAACAAAACTAAAAAAAATTTAGTTAGAGTAACCAAGAAAACAAGAGAGCACTCAGATGAATAAAATTAAATCTGAAAGATGAGCTATTACAAGTGATACCACAGAAATGCAAAGAATCTCAAGACTAGTGTGAACAATTACACACCATCAAATTGAATAACTTAACAGAAATGAATAAATTCCTAGAAACAAACAACCTACCAAAACTGAATCTTGAAGAAGTTGAAAATATAAGCAGTCCAGTAATAAGAATATCCAAGTAGTAATCAAAATATCTCCAAAGAAAAATCTAGAACCAGTTGGCTTCGGAGATTGATTGTACCAAGCATTTAGAGAAGAATTCATGCTAATCCTTCTAGGACTTTTCTTTAAAAATTGTAAAAAAGAAACACTTCCAAACTAATTTAATGAGGTCAGTATTATCCTTATGCTAAAACCAGGAAAGAACACTACAAGAAAATAAAATACACATGAATATCTTTGATGAGCATAGATGCAAAAATCTTCAACAAAATATGAGCAAACTGAATTCAACAACATGTTTAAAGTATCATACACCAGGATTTGTTCTTGAAGTGAAATAATGGTTCAGCATACGTGGATCAATAAATGTGATCCGCTATGTTAACAGTATAAAGAATAAAAACGTCATACAATAATCTCAACAGATGCAGAAAAATCATCTAATATCTTCTCATGATGAAACTGTGAAAAAATTAAGTATTGAAGGAATGTACCTCAACACAACAAAGGCCATACATGTCAATCTCGCAGCTTACCGCTTGCTCAAGCTGAAAGCTTTTCCTCTAAGATAATGAACAAGAAAAACATGCACACTCTCATGATTTCTATTCAACATAGTACTGGAAGTAGTAGCAAGAGTAATCAAACAAGAGAAAGAAATAAAAGGTATCCAAATTGGAAAGAAAAAATGAAATTTCCCTGTTTGCATACAACATAATCTCATGTATAGTAAAATTGAAAGACTGCACCAAAAAACAACTGTAAACACTAATAAAATATTCATTAAAGTTGCAAGATGCAAAATCAATCTTTAAGAAAACAGTTGCATTTAGGACCCACTATTGAAAACAAAATGTTATAAATATCTCATTTACAATTGCACCAGAAACAAAAGATAGTGAGGAATAAATTTAACCAAGGAAATTAATGGTTGGCACACTGAAAACTGTGAAGCATTGATGAAAAAAATAAGACACAAATGAATGAAAAGATATCACATGTTCATGAATTAAAACAATTATACTTGTTAAAATGCTTATACTACCCAAAGCAATCTACAGATTCAATGCAATTCCAACAAAATTCCCGTGGCATCTTTTACAGAAATAAAAAAAAATCTTTTTTTTTTTTTTTTTTTGAGACGGAGTCTTGCCCTGTCACCCAGGCCGAACTGCGGACTGCAGTGGCGCAATCTCGGCTCACTGCAAGCTCCGCTTCCCGGGTTCACGCCATTCTCCTGCCTCAGCCTCCCGAGTAGCTGGGACTACAGGCGCCCGCCACCGCGCCCGGCTAATTTTTTGTATTTTTAGTAGAGACGGGGTTTCACCTTGTTAGCCAGGATGGTCTCGATCTCCTGACCTCATGATCCACCCGCCTCGGCCTCCCAAAGTGCTGGGATTACAGGCGTGAGCCACCGCGCCCGGCCAAAAAAAAAATCTTAAAATTTGCGTGGAACCAAAATAGACCCTAAATAACCAAAGCAATCTTGTTTAAGAACAAAACTGGAGATATCAAACTTCCTGATTTCAAACTATATTCCAAAACTATAGTAATCAAAACAATATGTTATCAGCATAAAACAGACCATAGACCAATGAAACAAAATACAGAGCCCAGAAAAAAACCCATGCATATATGGTCAACTAACTTTTGAAAATGGCACCAAGTATGAATAATTAGAAAAAGATAGTCTCTTCAGTAAATTGCATTAAGGGAAATGCATACCACATGCAAGAGAATAAAAATGGATTCTTATCTTGCATCACATACAAAAATTAACTCACAATGGATTAAAGATTTAAATATAAACAAGTGGGACTAGATGAAACTAAAAAGCATCCACACAGCAGATGAAACAATGAACAAGATGAAAAGGTAATCTAGAGGATACAAGAAAATACTGGCAAACCATACAGCCGATAAAGGGTTATTTGCAAAATGTATTTTACAAACTCAGATAATTCAATAGCTAGAAAATAAATAACCCAATTTTTAAATGGGCAAAATATCTGAGTAGACACTTTTCCAAAGTAGACATACAATTAGCCAGTAGGTACATTAAAAGTTTTCATATTCACTAATCATCAATTAAATGCAAATCAAAACCACTGTGAGATAATACCTCACACAGTAAGAAATGATATTATTTATCAAAAAGATAGCAAGTCTTGGCCAGAGTGTAGAAAAAAAAAGGAAATCTTTGTACACTGTTGGCAGGAGTATTGATTGATCATCTATTATGAAAAACAGTATGGAGGACATTTCTCAAAAATATAGATCTACCATATGATCCAACAATTCCGTTACTGGATATATGTCTAAATAAATAAAATCCCTATCTCAAAGACATAGCTGTAACACTGACTTCACTGCAGAATTATTCACAAGAGCCAAGATATGAAAACAATCTATGGGTGCATCGACAGAGGAATAGATAATGAAAATGTGGTATACACATACAATGGAATATTATTCAGTCATAAAAAAGAGGGAAGTCTTGCCATTTACACAACTTTGAAGAACTCAAAGGGTATCATACTAAGTGAAATAAGTGAGATACTCAGAGAAAAATACTGTGTGGTCTCATTATATGTGGAATCTAAAATAATTGAACTTACAGAAATAGAGTATACAATGGTTCTTGCCATGGGTTAGAGACGTGAGGAGAGGGTGGTTAAAGTTAAATTTTTAGTTATGAGATGAATAATTTGTGGGGATCTAATAAACAGCAAGGTAACTATAGTTAATAGTATTGTATTATGTACTTGAAATTTGCTAAAAGAGTTACACTAATTTACCATGTGAGGTAATAGATGTATTAACTTGACAGTGGTATTTATTTTGCTATATATATGTATATTGAATAATCGAGTTGTACACCTTAGATACACACAATTTTTGTCAATTATACCTCAATAGAGCTGAAAATAAATAAAATATAAATGCACTAAAAATAAAATCGTTTTCAGTTATACAACTCTAAGTTTTCACAAGATTAAGCAAAAAAATTATTGAGGACCAAGGGGATTTAACAAAAATCAGAGACACAATTCTCTTGGGGTTTCTATTGAATTCCACACAGGATTTTGGAAATAAGAATATTAAGATAATTTATAATCAATACAAAAACAAATTCAGTAAGACATAAGTTAAGGAAGTAGCTGTGACAGACAGTGAGGAAAGTAGTCTAGTTGTGTTCTTGAGCCCAAAAAAATATTTATGGTGAAAGGAAATGTGCAAAGAAATTATGGTATTATTTTATTATTTTTTACTTCTCATATATCATTTGCATAAACATTACTACTTTTTAGAGCAAATGTTGGCTATATTGTTTATCATTATTAACCATTTTTTTCTTTACTTGCACACATCCTTCTGATGTTAACCTGAACCAAGAGCTAATACATAACTTGAAATAACACACAGATAAAGTAGGATGTGTCTGCACATCCCTCTGCTTTTATAGACATCCTTCAACCTCCACCTCCATAAATCTTGGAAGGAAGACATTGAACAGCACAGCCCTCCCATTATTTGCCGAGTTATATGAAGAAACAGAAACAAAATTAAGTTTATCCAAACAGGTTAGATTACCATGGATGGACTCATCCCACCTTGTTTGCAATTTCATTTCTTGCTATAAAATATTTTTTTAAAAACTTTTATTTTAAGTTCAGGGGCATATGTGCAGGTTTGTTGCATAGGTAAACTTGTGTAATGGGGATTTATTGTACAGGTTATTTCATCACCCAAGTGTTAAGCCTAGTATCCATTAGTTATTTTCCTGATACTCTTCCTCCTCTCACCCTCCATCCTCTGGTAGGCCCCAGTGTGTGTTTTTCCTCTCTATGTGTCCATGTTTTCTCATCATTTAGCTCCCACTTACAAGTGAGAATATGTGATATTTGGTTTTCTGTTCCTATGTTAGTTTGCTAATGACAATTGCCTCCAGTTCCATTCATGTTGCTGTGAAGGACATGATCTTGTTCTTTTTTATGGCTGCATAGTATTCCATGGTGTAGATGTACTGCATTTTCTTTATCCAGTCTGTCACTGATGGACATTTAGGTTGATTCTATGTCTTTGCTATTGTGAATAGCACTGCAATAAACATATGCATGCATGTGTCTTCATAATAGAATGATTTCTATTCCTTTGGATATATACCCAGTAAGGGATTGCTGGATTGAATGGTAGTTCTGCTTTTAGCTCTTTGAGGAATTGCTACACTGTCTTCCACAATAGTTGGGACTAATTTACACTCCCATTAACAACATATTAGCATCTTGTTTCTCCACAACTTCGCCGGCATCTATTATTTTTGGACTTTTAAATAATACTAGCTATTCTGACTGGTGTGAGGTGGTCTATCATTGTGGTTTTGATTTGCGTTTCCCTAATGATCAGTGATGTTGAGCTTTTTTTTTCATATGATTGTTGGCTGCATGTATGTCTTCTCTTGCTATAAAATCTAAAGGAAGTGTGAAATGTATTGTTTTTCTGACTTAAATTTTCACATTTTTAGGCCACATTATTTTTTAAGATGGTTGAAGTTTATTCTTAGACAACAAATATGTTTCCTAAAATCAAACATATTGTGGACCTTTTAATAATCTCAAAGTCAATTATGAAGTCAAACATTAATTAATTCTTGGTTCCCTAATGCCATGAAAGAATTATTCCATTTGTCTTAGTAGCTCATATCTTTACAGAGCACCTTATTGACTGAGAAGATATTCCTAAATATATTACAACTGTGTTATTTAGATATTTTCTTTGCAGTTCAATTTCAAATTAACTTTTTTCTTTAGCAGTTTGAAAAGGGTGATCGTAAGGGATTGTTAGCAGATGTTCCCATTTAAAAATCAACCATCAAAAATTAGACATATATTTTATTCTAAAACTTTTTTGTACTACCTAGAAAACATATGTTAATTAATTTCATGTAAAAATATAAAATCACATGTTTTATATCCCATTCCTATTAATGGTTTTATTACTTTAATACTTACATGTCTGAAAAAAAAACCTTATTTTACTTGGGAAGCTATCTGAAATGATATGCATACATAAAGGCATGGTTTAGCTCAGTCACTTAACATCTCATCATTTATTTCTTCAGAGTTTATCACTCCTGTATATTTTAGCACTGGTCCTTTAGTGCAGAAAAATTTTTCTTCATGACTATTTGGTCTAGAATCAAACCATCTCCTCATATTATTTGTGTTTGGTTACAATGCAGTTTAAACAGTGTGCTCAACTACTAGTAGCTTAGTTACAGTTTGTCCATCTGTAATTCAATATTCCCAGTAAAATTTATTAGAAAATGTAGTTACCTTTGTGATAAAACAAGATAAAAATGGCCTACTACTAATAATCAAAACGGTTTGAAACATGGCTCAGAAAACCAGCAATTAGTTATCACTAATTAAGGGTTCCAAACTAGATGAATCATTTAACTGTTGCAGTCACAACAATAGCATATTTCAAGTGAAGGGATTGAAACTGATTTCCCTTCAAAAGCAAAGTTACAGTTTTCTGTAAGTGTGAAATTCTGAAAAGTTCACTTCTTTAATTCTGGAACTTCATTTCACTGTACTCTTTTCTTTTAAAAAATAAATATTAGAATTTTATTTTCCTCACAAGATAACTTGCAAAATCGTACAAAGGACATTATTGACAAATAGTTGTCTTTATGTTATGACACACAAATACACATACACGTATTTGTGTATCTAGCTGTTGAAAGATATTGACACAAATATAAGTGTAGGTATTTGTGCAGATGCAGGTATTTTATACATGAGTTAAAAACACGCTTTCCATTATCAAGCTTTACAGATTTGAATCCCAGATCCACAGCTTCTTATTTGTGTAAACATGCGCAACACTTTTATTTCCTCCAAAGCTCAGTTTTCTCCTTTCTATATGTCTAATAATACCCATTTCTTAGGTTTGTTGTTAAGAATAAACCACATAATTCACGCAAAGTTCTTAGCACTGAGCATGGGACATATTATATGTTAACTATACTTTAGCAATCATTATAATTATATTGCCATCAGATAATTTCTGTACTGCTTTTGTTAACATTCTCCCTGAGAAATATGTACAGTCACAGTAAATTTGAGGCAATCCATACGTTTCTGTTTGCTAGTGAAAGGAGTTAGCCAGCTTGCTTTAGGCAGACAGTAAGGGAAGGGTGCCCTGGAAAACCTCGGACCTACCCCACAAGCGCTTACACCAGATGTTTTGGGCAGATAAGGGAACATGCACAGGGTGCTTGCCTAAACATGCCCGCAGCGGACTGAGGACCCGCATGCGCACTGGGGGATGAGATCGCGCCACCAGGAATTCACGCATTGTGCAAAAAAGGAAACCAGCCTCATCGGCCTTGTATTTTGTAAAAGCCCTTGAATTCAACTGTGAAGGGGGCAACCGGGAACCTGCTTTCAGGACCCCTCTCTCTGCTGAGAGCTTCTCCACTGACTCTTCGACGTCTCCCTTCCTGTTTCTTCTAGGTCATGAGACAAGAACCCGGACCTAGCTGAGCTAAGCAGTAAAAAATATTCCATCACTAGGACACGGGTAGTTAATCTGCATCTCCTAGAGTAACAAAGTGGGTTAAATGAAACAAAATGAATCAGGACAAATGGCCTCTTTGTCATATTTTCACTGGTTCCATGTCCCTTCTAGAACCTCTGATTGCAATATTAATAATAACAATACTTCCCATAACTTAAGGAAAAATACAGTTTTTCCCACAAGGAAGAACTGGCCTACTTACAAAAACCATGTCCTTCTTTCTTATCTGAAAGCTGCTAGATTAAAGGAGAGTTGGGAGAAGGACCTGCGCATATGTTTTGACGTCATCCACATGGAAGATAGGAAAGAAAAGAGTCCTGAATAAGATAACAAGTTACAATAAAAGATAACAGTTCTCTATTTAAATGCCACTCTCAGAACCTGATGAAATTGTGGGCACCAGAAAGAAAGCTTATAATGTAGAAGGCTTTATGTAGTGTGGCTAAGTAGTATTTTGTAAACATTGTTAATAATTACGGCAATTGGTTAGATTAAAATGGATAGTGACATTAAGATAGACGAAAATAAAAAATTTATTACTGATATTTGGAATTGCACCAATTTTTTGGCTCCTAAGGCCAAGGTTTTCTTCTGTTCTATAAAAGTTGGCAAAGGCATATTGCTAATTTGGAGACATGAATTAGCAATTCTTAGATACTTTCTCATAATAATAGAAGTTTCTAAAGTTCTATTATTAGATTCACAATCTAATCTTTATTTAAACTATATTTACAATATATGGGTCATATGATAATTTGGGGCTTAAGTGATAATAGGAGTAGAATCTGAATAATATAAGAGCATTTTCTTGTGTAAATGGTGGTCTTATATTATTAATGTAATATGCAAATTTTCCTCATTATGTTATTTATATAGAGAGGGTCTATAAGGCTGTAATTAATACATTAAGTCCTATTAGAATGGTAAAATTAGATCATGAAAAGAATTCTGTAACTACCAATAGTTTTCCAGTCAGGTTGATAGTTGGTGGTAAGGCTAGATTTAGTTTGGCTAGCCAGTACTCATCATGTTGCTATGAGAGGAAGTAATGTCTGTAGTCCACGAGCTAATGTATAATTTGAAAATGAATTTGAGTTTAATATCTATATATTATATATATGCCATATATCATATGTATATATGTCAGTAACCAAAAGAAAACTAAAATAACTATCTTAATTTCAGACAAAGTGACATCAGAACACAGAATATTCTCATATTTAAAGGGGGATATATATATATATAATGATTTTCAAAAGGACATAAATATCCTAAATGCATATACATCTAACAACTGAGCTTAAAAATAAGTAAAGTAAAAACTGTAATATCTAAAAATAAATAGAAAAAATCACAATGATAGCTGGATACATCAAAATTCCTTTCTCAGGAAATATTTAAACTGTTGTTCTGGATCACAGATTATATGTATGTGTACATATATACACACACTCATATATATACACGTTTTGATATACATACATTTTATTTAAGAAGCTTAATCTCTAGCAGTTTTAAGCAAGACAATTGTAATAGCAGTGTCATAATGCAATCATAGATAAATAGAGGAAATGCTTATTTCTCCTGCCGGGGCTATGAAGTAAAATGTTTTATAGGTCGCTTTGGAAAGATCAAGGTATGCAATCTGACTACATGTTTCAGTATTGTTTCCTATTTGTTGAAACCCACAGGCCAGTTAGTTAACCTGTCTGGATTTTATAATTTCAGCTTAAGTGTAATTATAAATAACACAGTTATTTTAATGAAAGTAAAGATTTAAAACACTAAAATTTATAATCATCTTTTGGATAATTAATATTATCAATGTCAATATTATGAAATTTTCTTTAAAATGGGTAGATAGTGGAGATGAAGACAAATGGAATTTCTTACAAATCATGCTTTATTTGCTCTAAACACCATGTATATGCTACTAATACCAAATATGTCTCCCCGGCCAGGAGGTTTTTCCTAAACTTTTGAGTCATAGTCTACTAGCTACTTACTGTCTCCGATTAGATTTCGATAAGGTATCCAAACCTAATATGTCTGAAACCTCTTTCAAATCTTCTCTTCCCAGAGATTTTCCCATCTCAGTAAATAGAAATTCTTTCTTTCTAGATTCAGAAGTCCAAATCATTTGTGCCATTTTGGAATTTTTCTCACCTCGTGTCTTCTGTTCCAAATCCAGAATCCTGCCACTTTCTACTGCTGTAATCAGTATGGGAAAGCCACCCTCCTTTCCCACCTGAATTATTGAAAAAATACTGTAAAAACACTACCTAATTTCTTACTTTC